>NC_000015.10:89168550-89320066 GCF_000001405.40 Homo sapiens
AGAACATCCAGCAGTCTGTCTGACATCAGGCAGGGTTGGCCCTTTATCCAGATCAGATGTGTTTGGATTTAATTAAATTGAGGCTCCCAAAGTGCCTACACAATTAGCTGTAATTGCTCCTCAGTAGTGTAGCAAATCTGAGTTTTGTAACTGTCCCAATGACATCTGAACATCTGCTCTAGGTCTCAAATAATTAGTCTCAAACCTGAGTAATGATAGATGGGTCTAAAAGGAATCAAAGCTGGGTGCAGTGGCTCACACCTGTAATCTCAGCACTTTGGGAAAGGAAGCCAAGGTGGGCAGACCTCTTGAGCTCAGAAGTTCGAGACCAGCCTGGGCAACATAGTGGAACCTCCCAGGCAAGTTCGCCCATCTCTACAAAAAATCAGAAATTAGCTGGGTTTGGTGGCATGTGCCTATAGTCCCAGCTACTCAAGAGGCTAAGGTGGAAGGACGTCTTGAGCTTGGGGAGGTCAAGGCTGCAGTGAGCCATGATCATGCCACTGTACTCCAGCCTAGGGAGACAGAGCGAGACCGTCTCAAAAAAATAAGAATAAAAATAATAAAAGGAATCAAATGGTTGGGGGGAGTAAGATGTTTAATAATTGAAGCATAAATCTCTGGAGTACTATTACCTAAGTAGATTTGTGATATAAGGCAAGGGGCTTGGGCTTTGGGGTTGACATGGTCCAAAGTCTAGCGTTGGACTTTGAGTAGACACGGTCATGAGTAGACATGGCCCTACTCATTATGTGAGGGTGGACAAGTCATTTCATGTCTTTAAATCTGCTTCCTTGTCTGTGTTTAAGTTCCTAGAAGAGAGGCTGAACACTGTACATCTGTTGTTTCATCCATTCATTTAGGTAACACTGATTGAGTGCCCACCAAGTATCTGGCCTCACAGATACAGTGGTGAACAAGAGCAAGAATATCTTTGCTTCATGGAGTTTATAATCTAATAGAGTCTCATTCAATGTTGGAACCAAACATAAAGATATAGTTAGCTAAGAGATGACAAAATTAGGCAGAAACCTTAGGAAGCGGTGGAGAAGTAAATATTTAATAACAATTTAAAATAAGTTTCTCAGTACTATTTCTTAGGCAGGCAAATAATGTCCCCAGCACAAACCATTGCTCCAGCATGAGTGATATGTTGGGTGTCTTTAGCATTGTCGAAACTGGCCTGAGGAAATGTAAACATCTTTTTTTCCCTTATTTTTTTGCTAGATTTTAAAACTGGTTAGATTCATATTTAAAAAGAAATAAATACACATGAGAAAAACAGTCAAACTGTGCCAAAGGCTACATACAATGAGTGAAACTAGATCTTTTTCCTACCCTAGACCCCCAGTTTTTCTCCCCAGGAAATCAATATCTGCTGCAATTTCCCAGTGAATATTCAGTCAGATATGTGTGTATGTAATCCCTTAAAACCCAAGCAAACACGGGAGAGGGTGCCAGCCCCACTGTTTCACCCCTTGTTTTTATCCCTTAAGATGGCTCAGAGCCATTCCATGTCAGATCAGATTCTTTTTTTTTTTTTTTTTTTTTTTTTTTTTTTTTGGAGACGGGGTCTCACTCTGTCACTCAGACTGGAGTGTAGTGGCACAATCTTGGCTCACTGCAACCTCCCTTCCCAGGCTCAAGCGATTCTCCCACCTCAGCCTCCCAAGTAGCTGGGACTACAGGCACGTGTCACCACTGCCTGGATAATTTTTGTATTTTTAGCAGAGACAGGGTTTCACCATGTTGGCCAGGCTGGTCTTGAACTCCTGAACTCAAATGATCCACCCGCCTCAGCCTCCCAAAGTGCTGGGATTACAAGCATCAGCCACCGCGCCCGGCCAGATTCATCCTTTTTCACCACAGTGTAGTCCTTCATTTAACCAGTCCTCTACTGATGGAAATTTAGGTTGTTTCCAAACCTTTGCTGCTACAAACACCAAAATGCTGCAGTGAACATTCTTGCATGTACATGTTTACATACATATGCAGTATAAAGTCCCCAAAGGCAGAATTACTAGACCAAAGGTTTGTACTTTAAAAAACATGAACAGATGTTACCACATTGCCTTCCAAGGCCTATACCAATGTGTACTCCCTCAACAGTGGATGGACCAGAGGGCCTGTTACCCACACTTCTTCCAGTCCTGGGTATTGGCAAACTTCATCTTTTCTAACATGGGCAGTGGAAAATGATTTCTAAGTGTCATTTTAACTTGCATCTATTTAACAATGAGTGACATGAAGCATCTTTTCGAGCTGCACTTTTAAAAGACAAAAGAGGCCGGGCGCGGTGGCTCACACCTGTAATCCCAGCACTTTGGGAGGCCGAGGGGGGCGGATCACAAGGTCAGGAGTTCAAGACCAGCCTGGCCAACATGGTGAAGCCCCGCCTCTACTAAAAATACAAAAATTAGCCCGGCGTGGTGGTGGGCGCCTGTAATCCCAGCTACTCACGAGGCTGAGGCAGGAGAATCGTTTGAACCCGGGAGGCAGAGGTTGCAGTGAGTCAAGATCGCACCACTGCACTCCAGCCTGGGCAACGAGCAAAACTCCATCTCCAAAAGAAAAAAGAAAAGATTTCATCCAGCTTTTCTGTCAACTAGGACAATGGTTCTCAAAGTGTGGTCTCTGGACCAACAACGTCAGCATCACCTGAGAACTTGTTAGAAAAGCAACTTCTCAGCCCACCCAGACCAGTGGAATCAGAATCTCTGGAGGTGAGGTCCTGCAAGCTCATTGAGCCCCTTGAGTTTCTGATTCCGTGGGTTTGGGGTGAGGTCCAAGAATGTGCATTTGAACCAGTTCCCAGGCAATGCTGATGCTGCTTGCTCAGGGGCCACACTCTGAGAACCACTGAGCTAGAGCATCATTCTTGCAGTAATATATAACCTCCGTGCAGCTTTTCCAATTCACTCTTTACAAGAAAGATTACCAGAAAGCAGTTACATGGATTTAAAGGCATTTAAATTTTCTGTTTGTTAGGTATTAGTGGATCTACAGGAAGCGCCTGGTTGTGTTGAACGGCGATGTGCTACCTGTGGAAACCTTGCTTTGAGGAAATGTTTGGAAAACTGCTACCAGGCTAAGCTTCCGAAAGGCTAAGCAGCGCCCCCATCTGTGAAGGTTGTTTACTGCAAGTAGAAAGGAAAGGGAGTCTGAAAAGGGGTGGCCCAGAGATGAGAGAGTGCTTCAAAAAAATGCCTTCTCGCATTGGTCTGAGCTGGAGAGAGCCTCGTTCCTTAGAGCAGTGCGCCACAGCCACAGTGGTTGCACCTGAGGATCTTGTAGAAGAACACCCATGGCCAGATCCCACCCCCAGACGTTCTGACTTAATGAAGCTGGGGAGGCCCCAGGCATTAGTATGGGTGTTTTAGAAGCTCCCCAGGTGTTTGGCTTTGAGGCTATTTCTTTAACTCTCTCAATGATTCAGTAAGCCATTTAATACCCTATAATAAATATTTTTCCTGCTTTTTTTTTAAAAAAAATCCCCAGGTGATTCTAATGTGCAATCAGGTTGAAGAACACTACTTTAGAGAAAACCCTAAATTTTAGATCAGCTACACTCTTGTTTAAATATATTTTTAATTGTGATAAAATGTACATAACAAAATTTCATCCTAACCATTTTTAAGTGTACAGTTCAGTAGTGTTAAGTATATTGATTGTTTTGCAGCCAATCTCCAGAATTTTTTCATCTTGCAAAACTAAAACTATACCCATTAAACAACAACTCCCTAGCCCCTGGCAACCACCATTCTATTTTCCATCTGTAAATTTTACTAGTCCAGGTATGTCACATAAGTAGGATCCTACAGTATTTGTCCTTTTGTGAGTGGTTTACTTCATGTAGCATAATGTCCTCAAGGTTCTTCCATGCTGTAGCATGTGACGGGATGTCCTTCCCTTTTAAAGCTGAATAATATTGCATTGTACACATGTACCACATTGCTCTTATCCATTCATCCATCAAGGCACACTTGGGTTGGTTCCACTTTTTGGCTATTGTGAATAATGCTGCTATAAACATGGGTATACTTACATATTTTTAAAAGAGAAAATAATTAGAGTCAGTTATAGCCATTAACATTGAATGCTTATTATGCTCTGGACCCTGATCTAAGCTGTTTATGTATATCACTTTATTCACATCTCTAAACAACTCTACGAAGTCTTTACTCTTGTTACTTCCATTTTACAGATGATGAAACAGACCTAGGAGAGTTTGGTAACTTACCCAAGGTAACGGTATTTTGCACAGTTTCCTCACTACAAAAATTGTCTGGGCTGTTTGTTGAAAGTTCCCATTCCCAGGCCTCATCCTATTCCTGTAGGTTCTAAGCCTCCAGAAAGGAGCCTGGAAGCTGAAGATTTTCCCTGTATACGGGGGTTACTTGTCATCAAAGAGAAATTGAGAACATTTGGGGCCACTAAGTGGTAGGCCCAAGCAGTCTGGCCACAGGGCCTTTTCACTTAGCCATGAGGCCAGGCTGCTCCTTTAAGGCCTGGTTTTCAGTGCCTGTTATGGCCCAAGGGAGGTGAACAAATGTCTCCTTTGGGATTTCTAAATTTTTTATTTGTTGCGTGGTGTAGAAGCTGATATCAGCTAATTGCTCATTGTGCTCTCAGCTGTTTGTTTGCACATCCCCTTTTTTATATCACAGCTACATTTTGAAATCCAGCATTCCCTGGAGGCATAATATTCCTTCCATTGCTACCTTCTTAAAAAGAGAAACTTGGCCAGGGCAGTGGCTCATGCCTGTAATCCCAGCACTTTGGGAGGCGGAGGCAGGCAGATCACCTGAGGTCAGGAGTTCAAGACCAGACTGGCCAACAAGACAAAACCCTGTCTCTACTAAAAATACAAAAATTAGCTGGACATGGTGGCACATGCCTGTAACCCCAGCTACTCAGGGGGCTGAGGCAGGAGGATCGCTTGAACCTGAGAGGCAGAGGTTGTAGTGAGCCAAGATTGTGCCACTGCACTCCAGCCTGGGTGACAGAGCGAGACTCTGTCTCAAAAACAAACGAACAAAAAGAAACTTGAATGAATCTGACTTCGGTGGGGACAACAGTCTGGCATTTCACATTCCAAAGTTAAGAGTTCAAGGATCCTTCTGGACCAGGTTTTTGTTCCTTCCCTGTCCTCAGGGCCCATTCAGAGGCCTTGTCATCAGAATCCACTCAATTCAGCAACTCTTTATTGAAGGCCTGCAAACTGCCCCAGCCTCTGCTGAGTGTAAGAGGGAGAAAAATAAGCAGCTTGATCCTCTACTATCTCACTGGAGAGGGAGACGGGCTGCCTTCTCAAAGTTGGTGCCTGGGTCCTGCTGTTTGGGAGGAAGCAGCTCTTGGCCCGGTTTTTCCCTTAGTTTTAGGCATCTCTTGCTTAAGCTCCTTCTAAGCCCCCAGCATTTCCAGATCATGATTATTAGTCAAAAGTATAGGGGATACTGTCTGGGAAGAGGCATGAGGAGGCCTCCAGGGGTGTCAAAAATATTCTGCGTCTTCATCTGGGCAATGCTTACCTGGGTATAAATGTGTAAAATTTCATTGATTGTGCATTTTCCTGTATGTATGTTATACCCCATTAAAAATAAAAAAGAATAGGGCAGTTTCAAGTGTATTGATGCATAATATTGCCAGACATATTGTAAAGGGAAAAAAAGAGCCACCGAACAATGTGTATGTTACCACTGGTATTTTTAAAAAGAATATAGGAAACTTACCTTTCACTCCATCTTTTACAGCATTTGAATTTTCTACCATGGGCATGAATTACCTACTCAAAAACAAAGTCACTATAGATTCCTGGGCTTGGTCCCCATCTTACAGAATCAGCTTCTCTGGAGTTGAGGCCCAGGAATGGTCATTTCTAACACCCTCTCCAGGTGATTCTATGCACACTGCAGCTTAAGAACTGCATGGGGCTGTGCCGGCCTGGCTTAGGCTACATCCTACCACAAAAGAAGACAGATATAAGGGGAGTTTACCCCAGGCTCAAAAGATACTTTCCCCCATGGCTTGATGATTAGGGAAGGAGCTGTTCAACTCTATTAAGAATGCCAAAACCTCTGAGCTGGTGCCAAAGTCAACAACTCCCGTTTCCATTGTAAATCCGTACTCTTCTCATGCCAGTCTATTTTGTATGTGCTTTGCGTCGACATCCCTATCTTTCCATGTTAGATTTTAAATTGGCTCCCTACAGAGTTTGAGGTTGGGCCTTAGAAGGATGTGATGAATCCCTTCACTTGTAATATGGCCATTCACCTCCTCCTCTTAGCAAAGCTGCTGAGACATAACATGGCTTCAATAACTTCCCAAGGGGACACCAGCTGAGATCATCTCTCCTGGGCAAATGAGGCCCAAACAACCCTCTCTGTTAAGAGGTCTCATCTGTGTATTTTTGAATGAGCCTGCCTCCCTTGGCACCCTGTCCCTATGTCACCAAGAACGTTTTACCCTAATCCTACAGAGCATCCTGGCAGTCCCTCTGGACTGAAGTTTATCTTTCCTCTCCTTTCCAACTCTGTCAAGAAGATTCTGTAAATAACATCCACTTGCTACTTTTCTTAACACCATGAATCATCATACACATGGGTATAGCATCCCAATTTGTAGCCTAGGAAGCTAATCTCAAAGGATTTTGCTCTTGCATTTATTTATTTATTTACTTATTTTATTTTTTTGAGACAGGGTCTCACTCTGTCACCCAGGCTGGAGTGCAGTGATGCGATCTTGGCTCACTGTAGCCTCTGCCTCCCCGGCTCAAGGGATCCTCTTGCCTCAGCCTCCTAAGTAGCGGGGACTACAAGGACACACCTGTAGTGTGTAGAGGTGGGGTCTCACCATTTTGTCCAGGCTGGCCTAGCTTTTATTTAGGTCTGTGTGTGAGCATATGTGCTCATGCACACCCTGAAATCTGCTTTGATATCCATGATTATCTAGACACGGTTCTTGTGACCTACCTTTTAAGAAGCATTGTACATTTGATACATGGTACCTCCACGCTTTGGCACTGCTGAGGCCCTGTTTCCTCTTATCCCAAGGGGCATCTGGGAACTTCTGTCTGGATAGCCAAAGAGCAGTGTCTGTCTCTCTCTCCACACACATCCCCCGACACACACACGTATATATACACATATATATTTCTCTCTCTTTTAGTATACTGGCACCCATTTAGTAACGTTCCAGCTTGCATTTTCTCCAGATAGGATGCACCTGAAATGATTGAGCAATCTCACCCTTTTGCCCACAGGCTGCACGTGGGAATTTGGAGCCATGGTGAACTACATCAAGAAGACATATCCCCTGACCCAGCTGGTCGTCGTGGGCTTCAGCCTGGGTGGTAACATTGTGTGCAAATACTTGGGGGAGACTCAGGCAAACCAAGAGAAGGTCCTGTGCTGCGTCAGCGTGTGCCAGGGGTACAGTGCACTGAGGTGAGTCATCTCCGCCTTCCATCAGGGCCTTCAGTTAGCCCTTATTTATAGAGATGCCCCGACGCACAACACACTGTTCTGTGAAGACCGGGGAACACTGTGGCCGACTGAGTAGAAGTTTCTGAGTCTTGGACTCACCTTGTTTTGTCTGCATATCATACATTGGAGATGCCCCATCAGACCCCTTAAGCCTGGGATATGCAGCTGCGTTTTGGGGTCAGATCTGTAATTGGAGAAGTAAAACCCCCTTTGATAGTTGCTGTCTCCTAGGGAATCTCTGTCAGGTGACTTAATTTGTTCAGGCTTCAGGAGTTTTTATAGAAACGTGGATTAATGAAAGAGCACAGGAGACTGGCAAGCTGGGATCTGAAAGCTGGGCCTTGGGATCCCAGATCCCTCCTTCCTGCAAGAGATGAGTCCCAGATGGCATCTGGAAGGGATCTGTAGAAATCATTTAATCAGTGTCCTCACCTTTAAGTATTTGTCTCTGTCAGGCATCCCAGGCATCATCACAAAGGAGCTGATCTACTGGGTCAAGCTTTCTCCCACCCCTTAGTCTCTTGCCAGTAGATGCCCCACAGGATGAGTCCCAGGAGGGCGTGGTCATCTGCCCCGATTCCCCTGAAGATCACTGCTGTCCCAGGTCTCTCAAGAGTCACCACACTCACACGTTCACACACACATGCACACACTCACACTATACACACACCTCTCCAGGCTCTTCAAATACATTCATATTTTTTTCTGTACTCTTCATGGTGTCTTTCGTTTTACCAATGAGTATAACCAGTTATTAAAAATCTGATGAAAAAATTTGAAACACACGGGAAAGTTTAAAAACACCTCCCTATTGATCCAGTCTAATGCCAAACAGTCCTTATCGTTATTCAAAGAATCTTTTTGCCTCACCTGTATATCTCATGCTGCAGTTTAAACATACCTTGTTACTTTCTGATGGATAGAGGCCATCTATATTATTTCTAAAAATACATATTACTGGAATTTAAAGCCAGCACACCCAAAAGACACATGTGGGCCCAGGATTCAGCCTCTCCCTATGAGGCTTAAAGCTGGCTGAAAAAGGTGATCTAAATGTACCCACGATAGACATGAGAAACATCTCTGATGAAACCCTTCCTGAGTCCCAGGACCAAGGTCTGGGTTCTATTTTTCCGTGCCGGCAATATGGGGATGATGATGATAAGCAGTACCTACCTCATAGCACCGCTGAGAGTCAAATGAGTTGATGCGTGTGAAGTGCTTAGAACAGTGCCCAGCACGCAGAACGTAAGCCACTGTTCATTTTCATTATCGTCATCATCGTCATTCACTGTAAAATGAAGGAGGTGGGTTCGATCGGCGGATCACAAAGACCGGTCCAGTGAACTAGTGACTGCCTCACTTCATAAGGAATCACTTGGAGGATCATGTTAGAAAGAAATTCTGTTTCTTGGGCCCCACCCTTGGAGATTTTGATTCATGAAGTTGGAGGCATGGGACCTCAGAAGTCTGCATTTTGGATACATTTCATAGGCGAGTTTTCAGTTTAGTTACGTTTAGCAGTCCCCGGGGTTAGTGACCTCAGTGGTCTCTCCAGCTGCTCTCGCGTTCCAGGACCAGGCTAGTCCCCCATCTTCCTACCAGGAATCTTTTCCTTCACTCCTCTGGACACTGGGGAGTCAGCTGAGAGGACATGTGCCTTTATCTTGGTGGGACTAGTAATATCCAACTCCCAGCTCATAGCCACGTGTAACCAGAATTAACCAAAGTCCTGTCGGGCCCAGTCACTGGGATAAGAAAGACATGAGCAAGGGGCCTACCCCAGGATCCAAGGGAGCAGAACTAGGACGTTTGTTTTGTTTTCTTTTTTTTCAATGCACAAAATCTTAACACGACAATCCCTTCATCTCATTTTGCTGCAGTAGCGCCATCTGCTGTCAGCAAGAGCACATGATTGACGCAGCAAGCTAAGGTGTTTGAACTAAGGCAAAGAAGGCTCAAGAAGCTAGAAAACTAAAATCTGTGAGGTGCTATACATTTTGCAGACATAGCCTACACAGCCTCTTCCTTGAGACCTCAGAGGGCTTCATACACATAACTAACTATTGGCACACCAACCTCATGCAACAAAGAGCAAGTTGCAACTTTATTGTCTGGAGCACAGAGAACTAACTTGCCCAGGCTAAGATCATGTGGTCCTGCATATGGGAACTGGCACCAGGTCAGAGAGACACTGTTGTCCTTGTGTGTGCTGGTCCAAGGCTCAGGTACCCTCAACATTTAAACCAGATCTATGGAATAAATGGAGCACAGTTCCTTACTTTAAACCAGTATAACCTTTTTTTTTCCTGCCAAGGCTTGAGGGCGATGAGCCTTTCAGCACTGGGATGGTGGCAGCTGCATAAGTGCTTCCCATCACACCAAGGTGGAGCCGGGGAGGCCCGTCTGCCTCTGCAGGGGCCACACGAGAGTTCATGCGTCTGGTAAATCTCTCCTAGCTGAGTCTGGAGACCCGCTTCCTCAGTGAACCCCTCCCTCTGGCTTCTCCTCCCGTAGCTCACCTCCCATCTAGCCAGAGCCGGTTGAAGGCTCAGAGAGAAGCCAGCCACCCGCTTGCTGTAGTTAGCAAAGTCTAGCTGCTGCTAAACTAGCTCACCTTCTACCTAAATGTGCTGAACCACTGAAGGAGGGACACAGATGCCCTGAAATCACCTGGTATCCGGCAGACTTTAACATGTTCCCTCAGCATAAACAGCTGCCAACCCGCCTGGGGACTCTGTGTGGTGAGACATCCTCCTAGGTAACAGGGACACAGCCTTGAACAAGGCTGACTAATTCCCTGCCTTCATGGAGCTTAAAGAAAATGGGGAGAGAAGCATTTTTGGTCTGGTTTCAGGTAAAATAAATTCTTTCCCAAGAAAGCCCTCAACAACCTTATGTTACAGAATTGACCAGTAATAATAAAACTAAAACAAAAGCATTTTATTGCAGTTTGGGTGTAAAAGATAGTCTGTATCTGAGGACCTCACAGCACTTAAGACAGCAGAGTGATATTTACAAAGCCACAAAGCAACAAATACATGTTACTAAGATATTACACATTTAGGCATATGGGTGCCAAGGAGGTCCTCAGTCAAGTGGGGGGTCCATGAGGAGGGATTTCTGAAGGAGGTGAGGGTGAGGAGGACAGTAGCACAGGGCCCAGGCCAGGGGCAGAAGCCCCTTACAGCAGGGGTCCCAACTGCTGTTAGGAACCAGGCCGCACAGCAGGAGGTGAGCGGTGGGCAGGTCACAGTGGGCAAAGCAGTAGGGAAGCAGTGGGTGAACCTTCATCTGTATTTAGTCTCATTCCCCATTGATCACATTACTGCCTGAGTTCCGCCTCCTGTCAGATCAGCAGTGACATTAGATTCTCATAGGAGGATGAACCTTATTGTGAACTGCGCATGTGAGGGATAGTTTGCATCTTCTTATGAGAATCTAATATCTGATGATCTGTCGCTGTCTCCCATCACCCCCAGATGGGACTGTCTAGTTGCAGGAAAATAAGCTCAGGGATCTCACTGATTCTATGTTATGGTGAGTTGTAGAATTATTTCATTCTGTATGATAATGTAATAATAATAGGGAAAAAGTACATTATAAATGTAATGTGCTTGAATCATCCTGAAGCCATCCCCCTGCCCCTGCCTTCCCTAGGCTGTGGACAAATTGTCTTCCACAAAGCCAGTCCCAAGGACTGCTTCCTTACAGGACAGTAGGGGAATTATCAGAGGAGTGTTTCAAATCTCCTTAAAGGCACATTATACTCCGGGCTAAGTGGATGTGTTAACATCACTAAGACCTGACCTCCTTGGTTCAGGTAAACCTGAACATCCTAGCATTCTTTGAGCAAGGCCTTCCTGCCATGGGGAAGAGGCAGGTACCACTTTTCCTGCCAAATGGTGGGGATATTGTCTCTCTTGCTTTTGATGGGCAAACTTCAGGCTAGAGATGAGTTTATGGCAAAAGCAAATATTATTCATAAAGTTTCCCCAGAGACTGGGACTTTCCTAAAATTTGTTTTTATAGTTGAAGAGCTATAAAATACAGTAACTTTGTGCCATCAGTAATTTTGAATCACAGCCAAACAAAGAGGGGGAAACTGCAGCGTTTAAATGAGACTCTATGGACGGAACCTCACCCTGGGAAACAGCTCAGCTTTTCCACCACTGGGTTGTGAAGTTGACCTGACCACATGGTTGCCCTTAGTGCCTTGGGGCTTTTTGTGGGTTTTTTTGTTGTTGTTAATTTTTTTTTTATCAGTATAATGAGAGACTCTAACTCATTCCTGTAAAAGTACATCCTGCAAAAGGAAAAGATTCTGATAAGGAAGAAAGGGGCTTGGTAGGTGGCCATCCCTACTCTAGTCTGAAGTCCATCTTTCTGCCCCATCCTTCCACCCCAGTGGAACTAACAAAGCCCAGCCTGGCAGGTACCAAAAACTCTTGGCCCACTCCCTTGTGTGGTACAAACATGGTTTTCTTCTGCTCACACTCAAGCTGAACTAGCTGGAGATGATGACCTCTCTACAGATTGACTCTGCCCCTGAAGGGCAACCTGCTACCAGCCCAGAACCTTCTGGCTGGGTCTTTTGGGTCCAGAGGCTCTACCATCCCTCCTCCCAGAGGCCCGGCTGTGCAAGGCAGGAGCCCTGTCTTGGGCTTGGCCAGCCTGCCTAGGATCGTGCCCTCTTCCTCTCTCTGCAGGCTGGGCTGGTCCTGGTTTTGCCCCCACTGCAGGATTACTCTCTTACAGTGCCCAAATTAGAAATAATCCACATGTCCAGCATGGGAGATAGTTAAATAAATTAATAATATACCAACTCAGTGGGAAACGAGGCAGCTTTTATTTTAAAAAATCAAGAAAAATATATAACACGACAGAATGTATATATTAAAAGTAGGGAAGGGCCGGGTGCGGTGGCTCACGCCTGGAATCCCAGCACTTTGGGAGGCCAAGGCACGCGGATCACAAGGTCAGGAGTTTGAGACCAGCCTGACCAACATGGTGAAACACCACCTCTACTAGAAATACAAAAATTAGCCAGGTGTGGTGGCGCGCACCTGTAATCCCAGCTACTCAGGAGGCTGAGGCAGGAAAATCTCTTGAACCCAGAAGGCGGAGGTTGCAGTGAGCCGAGATCATGCCATTACTGCACTCCAGCCTGGGGGACAGAGCGAGACTCTGTCTCAAAAAAAAAAAAAAAAAAAAAACAAGATGGTAAATTTTATGTTATGTGTTTTTATCATAATTTTTTAAAAATATGACTGTATATAGGCAAAACCTGGAAAGAAATCCCCTCCTTCTACAAGTAAAAATACTTCTTAGGTCGGTGTGATAGCATTATGGGAAAGTACTTAATGTACTTTATTCTTAAGGTTTCATTAGCATATTGCTTTCAAGGTATTTTTTTAGTATCGTCTACATCCACATCCCATTAATTCATCTCCAATCTTAATTCATACTGCCCTTGCCTTTTTTCCCTTTTTGGGGTGTTAAGGTCATGCTTGCCCATCCCACTCTTACAGAACCTCATTCTCATTCTCCATATTTTTTCAAAGACCACAGGAAAGCTGTTTCACTATTCTTATAGTCTCTCAGCACTCTGAGACATAATTTATTTGAGCCAGGAGATCTGAATTCACTTGGGTACCATTAGATGCATTCTTTCCCCAGTTCATTCTCTTCTGACTTTAATTCGTTTTCATCAGTACTTGGTCCACTCACTTTGCAAAATATGAACTGGAAAGCTGAGCCTTCTCTAAGCAGTTACCCCAGCAGCATAATGGTTGGCTCAGCTCTTCCTTGCCCAAGTGATTGCTCTGAACCTAATTGTAAATGCCTGTTTGTTGGGACCCTCTTCTGAGGGATTAAAATCCATTGCCTTCCGCAACACCTCTTAAAATTCTTTTAACAGTCCAAAGAGAAATCTCTCACTAGAAAATGGCTTTGAAACCAGTATGGGTCATATTTTATTATAATTTAATGTTACATTGATTAGAAATGAAGGCATTTTCAGGGAATTCTATTTATGTTGGTAATAGGTAGATCAATGGATGGACAAAGTTCTTTAAAAATCCTTATGGATTATTCTCAAAAAAGACTCCCAGTGAAACTATACTGGGTTTGGGGGTTAATTTTCTCTTCTCATTTGTGATTATCACTTCTTGAGAGTTTTGCAACTTTCAGAAAGCATCTTTCCTTTTGGAGTCATCCTGGTTCTTTCTGAAGTTTTGAAACCTACCCTCCTTCCAGCAAGATTCACTCTGAATTTTGCAAAGCCATTCCCTCCCTGTAATTCTGCCCGAGCTGCCCCTCCCAGGGTTCCACACTTCTCTCCTGTGTCCTCAGCCAGTTTATCCTGGTGGACCAATATCTGGCCCAGCCTGGGGAGCAGTTCCTGCCACCCCTTCTCTCTTCTGGAGAACATAGCTATCTAGAGGCAAGTCAAGAACTTGGATATTCAGGCCAGGTGAAGTGCCTCACGCCTGTAATTCCAACACTTTGGAAGGAGGCCGAGACCTAGAGATCACTTGAGGTCAGGAGTTCTAGACCACCCTGGCCAACATGACGAAACCCCGTATTCTACTAAAAAAATACAAAAAATTATCTGGGCATGATGGCACACACCTGTAGTCCCAGCTACTCGGGAGTCTGAAGCAGGAGAATCGCTTGAACCCAGGAGGTGGAGGTTGCAGTGAGCTGAGATCACACCACTGCACTCCAGCCTGAGCAACAGAGTGAGACTCCATCTCAAGAAACAAAAACAAAAAAAGAACTTGGATAGGCAAGTAAGGTATTTGTGCAGTGTCTAGAGAGCTAAACTCCCCTGGTTTCGTGCCCATTTTGTGATTTGCATCTAAAATTGAACCCCAGTGTAGCCACTACCAGCTCCAATAACATGAATTCATACCCCCATCTTGTTTCCTCTACACCTATCCATTCAACCCCTCCCTCAGAAACTACATTCTTTTAAAGCAAGTTGCAGATATCATTTCATCTGTAAGTAGTTCACTAGGTAGCTCTAAAAGACTCTAAGGACTTTTTCTTAAACATAACCACAAATACCATCATCACCCAAAAAATTAGCAATAATTCCCTAATAGCATCCCATGTCTAGTCAGTGTCCAGATTTCCTTGATTGTCTCATGGAAGTGCTGTTTGTTTGTTTGTTTGTTTATTTTGCCAGTTGGCTGGTTTGAATCAGGATCCACATACTGCCTACATATGCATTTATTGATTTGTCTATGTTTCTTTTAGTCTGTAGGTTACCCTTTCTTTTACTGCCTTTCAGTTTGCTGTTGTTGGTATTGAAGACATCAGTCCTTTTCAAAAAAAAAAAAAAAAATATATATATATATATATATATATATATATATGAGATGAATGTAATACATTGATCTTGATTCTTTTATTAAAGCAATATAAATTTAAGTTTCAATTCCTTAATTCTACAGCCAAAGGTAAAAGACATCCCCTACATATACTGAGTGGTAAACCAAAGATACTAAAACTCAATCTTAGCCAAAATAAACAGTGGAATACTGGTCCCAGCATCCTTGTCCTGATCCCTCCCTGAGCCCTGGGTCCCTGTGAATCCCTAGAACCTTTCAACAAGCAGTGCCTGTGGTGTTTTCAATAAAAAAAAATCAAGGGCTGCAGCATCTTTTTATATCTTGTTTATGGCCACACCCTCCTCCCTTCCCTACCTCTGCAGCCTGTCTGCAATGAAGGAGGTACTAACAAAAGCAAGAACATCCCTTCAGTTAGGAGGTCAGCAAAGGGAGAAATGAACCAGGGTAAGAGAAAGCTGGGATTGCCAGAGACCACTGGCTCTCTGGGTGGCTTGGATCCAAAGTCAGAGGAGAGGCAGCTGGTTGTGGCTCGGTGATTGGGTGACCCCCTTCCCTCTGACCACAGGCAGGTGAGCACAGTCCTGCTTTAGCCGGGGTCCCTCATGGTGGTCTGGTCCTATACTCTTCCTGTAGTGCTTGGTTAGAGTCGGGCGGGGGTTGGCTGCACATTTATGCAGTGGCCTTTTGACCCTTCAGGGTGGTGGTAGTCTTCACCTTGAGCTTAGCCTGTGTTTGATGAGCACATTGCAGACCATTAAATTCACAAACCATTTCATTCTTAACTCCCCACTACCTCTTATTTTTTAACCACGACATTGTGGGAAATGTTTGTCACTCCAAAACTGTGGAATTTTGCCATTCTAAAATTGTAGCAGCTTTGGGGAAATTACTTTTATAAAATTACTTTTATAAACTCCCTGGATTGAAAAAATAATAAAAAACAAAACAAAAAACCTTACAAACCACCTGGTCCCCTCACTTACCATCTGGAAGATGGAACCTAGTAGAAGTAGTGACGTCCAGATCCATTCACAGGGTGGAGTCAGGCCTGGAGATTTTGAAACGTGCAAGATAAAAGTTTCCCTGTAATGAGTGTGGACTCAGTGTCCGCCTGCGTTTGGATTCACGCCCAAGGGAGGAGAGCAGTGAGTGGGGAGGGCTGGGCAGGCATGGCTGGTGGGAGTGAGCCCACTGGTGTTTGTTCACCTGCTGTGTGGTCATGGACATCTGGCTGGGGAAGCACATGGCCAGGGCTGGTGGTGCTGTCTCCTCCCTCTGCATGTGCTGCTGGCAGAACCTGGGCTCTGGAAAACAGGGATAATATCACCTGCCTACTGCCGCCATTGAAGGGTCAGAGTGTGGCCCTCACAGCCACACACTAGTGTGCCAGTCACACACTAGCCCTAGAGGCAGAAAGACACTTCCAGACCAGCCCCACCAGCTGTGCCTACAAAGGGTTAAGGGCCTGTCTACTTCCACTTCGATTTCCTTGCCTCTTCAATGGTATAAGGCTAATCAAAAGATAGATGTATTTGGAGGAGATCCCAGTTAATGATTTTCCTTTACCTCTTGATCAGCAATGACAGAAGATTTTTTAGGTTTTCCCCTCCACACCCACTCTCCCGTTCCATGTGCCAGTCATTAAACCAGAAAACTTGCCTGCCAGGTAGGGAGCCAAATACAGAAAGTGTTCACATGACAATTGAAGCAGACTTTGGTCCTGGCAGGCTCAGTGACTAAGAGAAGGTCCAGGTGCTAGAAGAGAGTGTCGGGGGTGCCACCAACAAAGCCTCTGGCGCTAGAGAGGGCCTTTGCCGGGGTCCCCTTCCCCTGCGCTGTCTTGGTGTCTCCATAGATTTCTCCACAGGTGTTTGAGCTCTGCACATTAGAGCCTCTGTTTTAATGCAGAGGCCACAGCCTGAGAGCCGGCCCTCTCCACACAAGCACCTCACCCCATGGCTAGAGCCCCCTCCTGGCTGCCCGCCTGCACCCCCACACCGCAGTCACCCTCACTCGCTGTGGTTCTTCCAGGGCCCAGGAAACCTTCATGCAATGGGATCAGTGCCGGCGGTTCTACAACTTCCTCATGGCTGACAACATGAAGAAGATCATCCTCTCGCACAGGTAGGTCACCTTCCGTTCTCTCTCAGGAGACAGACAGTTCCTTCCTGAGCTCATCTGGGAACCGTGAAAAGCCAGGACTCCTGTTCCTTCAGGGGAAAAAAAAAAATGCAGGTGTGGTACAGACTCTCTGCTGCCTGCATTTGTGACTTGATTAGAAACAAACTTGTCTTGGCCAGGCGCGGTGGCTCACGCCTGTAACCCCAGCACTTTGGGAAGCTGAGGCGGGCAGATAGCTTGAGGCCAGGAATTTGAGACCAGCCTGGCCAACATGGCGAAACCCCATCTCTACCAAAAATACAAAAATTAGCTGGGCATGATGGTGCCGCTGTAATCCCAGCTACTTGGGAGGCTGAGGCAGGAGAGTCGCTTGAACCCAGGAGGCGGAGGCTGCAGCGAGCCAAGATTGCGCCAATGCACCCCAGCCTGGGTGACAGAGCGAGACCCTGTCTGAAAAAAAAGAAAAGAAACCTGTCCCAAGCTACTGAATTTGCCAAATTGCCTTATGCTTTTATAATTCCCAGTAAATCTAAGACAATGAACCACTTCCACACCCTTTTCTCCCAAATTAGAGCAGTCACGAGGTGGCTGTCATTGTTGAGGAGACCTTCCCTGTAGGATGCTTCTGTGCCTGGGGGATCAGGACTCATTCTTGGCTGGCGCTTGGGCTTCTGACCAAGCAGCAGCGGGACAGGAGGCTCAGGGCATGGTTTCGGCGCCTCCCTGCTCGGAGTTTGAGCCTCTCCTTATTCTTCATGCTTGTCCTGCCTCTCCGCCTCGTAATCCTGTGGTGGGTTAACCTGTCAAGTGCTTAGAGCAGTGCTGTTATGCATAGCACCAGATAAATATTAGCAATGACTTTTTCATTATGATTATTATTATTGCTGACATCTCTGCCTCCTCCTCTACGCCTCTCATTCCCTCTAGCTGGACTAGGCTACTTAGAGGTTCCTGTGTCCCCTGGCCTCTGCCACACTACTTACTGCCCTTGCTGAGAATACTCTCCCGTTTCTCTGCTGGTGGGAACTCAGCCCATCCTTTAAAGTCCATCTCAATTCTCCTGCTTCTGTGAAGCCAACTCATCCATGCCCAAGTTGCTTTTCTTTTGCTTCCCCTCTGTAAATCCTACGTCTAGAACCAAACTGGAGAGCGTTGGAGGGCTTAGGCATGTGTTGATTGCTCCCAGCACCCGAGACACACCCGTTCGCTCAAAAAAATTTGGGGGATTTTTGGTATCACCCTAGAAAAAGCAATCTGACTAAATGATCAATTTCTTGTTCTCTTTTTTCCAGTGGCTAAAGCAGACCACACACCCCAGATTGGGCTTCCTACGGGTGGGCGTTCACATGGCACCTAAGCAAGGCTGGGCTTGAAGGCCCCATCAGGCTGCCACGTTGCCAAACATGTCCTTGTGTCCTCGTGTCTGGAAGGAGAGCAGAGGGAGACTTATGTCCCCTGTGCTGGCTGGAAAATCAGCTGTTCCCACTTGGCTCATGTTGTTTGAGATTCAGCTGTGTGCTGGGCACTGAGGTGCGTGTAGCTCAGCTGAGTTTGAATGGGTCTGGAGATTGCAGATGTTTTGTAGCCAGAAGGGGTGGATCCAGGCCTCTGACACCAAGTCCAAGTCCTCTGTCTGCGTTTCCACACCTCTGGTGTCAAAAGTGACTCCTCCCAGGAAACATTTGTTTTGCTAAAGGACCCAGTCTTGCTACTAATTAGTCTAGAAGGTTCAAATTATGAGAGTCCTTTGAGTGTACTCTAAGTATTCACATTTTTCAAATTTACTACAGAAAGCCAAACATTTGGAAATTTTAGGTTAACTTTGAATTTGTACATTCTATCCAGTAGGTATATAATCTTCCTAATAGTCTTTTGAAAAAAATAAATGCTACAGAAATGTGTTCTTCTTTTGGAGAGGTTGTGAATGAGTCGCAGAATACCAAGTTGGCATAATAAATCCTTCCTACCGCAGGGCCATGCCTCAACAAATTCAGTCCGCTTCCAGGTGTGTGACTGAGAGCCCTTGCTGGGAAGAGAGGTCAAAAATGCACGTTGTGACCCCTACCTCTAATGTCATCCTCTCCAGATGGATTTTTTCTTAATAGAAATGCTGGTTCCACTTGGGGGTTGGGAAAAAAAAAATGATTGCTCTCCTGAATAGATGTTAGCTTTTATCTAAGACACTAGAGAGCTGTTGGTTTGCCCAAATGCTAAATGAGTTAACCCTTGTCTTCCTCGCTTTTTGTTTGTTTTCCACTCCTTCCTGCACACTGAGTCTTCCTTGTTAAGCAACACAAACAGCTCATTAAGGGGAAGGGTCTCTGCCAAGGGGGACATTGTCAACACAGTGTAAGGACGACGCCCCTACGGCTTGGCCCATGGCCCACCACTCACCACAAGGCCCGTCTTGAGCCCCCCTCCCCTGTGCTGAAGGTTTTTTAATATTCAACTAGGTTCAAACCCAATCTTTAGTTTGTCTGGGTACCCCTGAAAAGGGAAATAAGGTTTTGACATTAACAGCGCCAGCTCATCCTCTGGGACATTCCAAAGGCTAAAGGTTCTATTTCTAACTGACCACGTTGGCTCTCCCTCCTGGCTTGCTGTGGCAAGGAAGCAGGCTATGCCATGGTTGTTCATCCTCCACATCTTAATCTCTGTTTGCTTTTGTGTTTGCTCTAGGCAAGCTCTTTTTGGAGACCATGTTAAGAAACCCCAGAGCCTGGAAGACACGGACTTGAGCCGGCTCTACACAGCAACATCCCTGATGCAGATTGATGACAATGTGATGAGGTGTGTCCGCGCAGGCGGGAGAGGGACGCTCTGGGGCAGGGTGCCAGGCAGGAGGCTGCAGGTCAGCTGTGCCCAGCACTAGTGTTTGCTCTGCCTACTTGAGTGTTAAGGGTGTTTTTTTCCCTTTAAGTAAGTGTCTAGTGCTTAAAAACAGAAGATTTCACAGGAACATTTAAATTTCTAGTTTCTCCTGGAAAATAGGAAAAGGATCCGACCACTCATTCTGCATTCCTACAAAGCATAGTTAGCTTGATTCAAGGAGCTGGGGCGTGCAGGCCCTAGCATGGGCAGTCTTCACCCTACCTGTCCTGCCTCAACACCAGGGCAAGTGTCAGGTGCCACATAAATCTGCATTTCGCAGTGGAGTAAAAGGCAAAAGAAATACTTCTTGTACTTCTCTGTGTCTCTAACAAGAGTAGAAAAACTGGCTGGGGGCAGTGTCTCATGCCTGTAATCCTAGGAGGATTTGGGAGGTCATGGGGGAAAGATCGCTTGAGCCCAGGAGGTTGAAGCTGCAGTGAGCCATGTTCATGCCATTGCACTCCAGCCAGGGTGACACAGCAAGACCCTTCTCAAAATTAAAAAAAAAAAAAAAGAAGTAGAAAAACAGAAGATAGACCAAGAGGACTATGTGTTTCAAGCAAAATGGACAGAGCCTCTTACTTTGGGGCATGGTGACTCCACTCTGAGTGTGAGACACAAATACTGCCCACTTCATTCATCTACTCTTTATCTGCCTCTCTCCTCCAGGCACCTGAGGTTGCAGCCTTGACAGTGGCCTCTTTCCTGGTTCCAGTAGTTTCTGATTGAGGTTAGCCTCAGCTGAAAAAGGAAAAGTTGACCTCTGATCTCATCATTCTCTTTAAATACGTGATCCTTTTCATTTAACAATCATTTGAGGCCAGGAACAGTGGCTCATGCCTGTAATTCCAGCACTTGGGGAGGCTGAGGCTGGAGGATCACATGAGGCAAGGAGTTTGAGACCAGCCTGGGCAACATAGCAAGTCCCTGTCTCTACAAAAAAAAATTGAAAAATAAAAATAGCCGGGCATAGTGGCACACACCTGTAGTCCCAGCTGCTTAGGAGGCTGAGACAGGAGGATCACTTGAGCTCATAAGTTTGAGATTACAGTGAGCTATGGTCCCAACACTGCACTGGAGCCCAGCCTGGGCAACAGAGCAAGGCCCTGTCCCTAAAATATAAAAAATAAATTATTTGATATTTTTAGATGTAGCTTAAAGCAAGCAATTATTCTTCATCTAATAGATAGGCAGATATTGACCTAAGGGTATAGGATCTCTGCTTTGCTTCCTTATGAGATTTTAGTAGCCTTCTTACACCAAGTAACGTTGAAATATGCCTGCTAACAGTTTCTCAAAGGAAATGAAAACTAGGAAATTGCTGGTATGTTCAGAAGGTGAAAAATGAATCTTACCCACCCTCACTTCAGATGAAGTGTGTGACTGTATTGCGGTGTGTGGTAAGAAAAAACAAATTAAATTTCCCATTCATCTCCTAAATTTTTTAAGCCCAGAAGAGAATGTTTCTCAACACTCTCTAAAGTCTTTCCTCTTTAATAGCGTTGGAAAATAGCAGTTTTATGATCATAACCAGTCTTGGTGGCTTCCTCAGAGATCCATCCCAGTAATACTGGAGGGATGGAACAATGCATTTCCTGCCTGCTGAGACTGCAAACGAACTGATTTCACAAGGACAGGCATCTTAGAGATGATCTCTACACTTGGCCTCCACCCTGTCAAGAGGGCCCTACTAGTCCAGCCTGAGCTTTCCAGGCCATTCCCAGGCAGAGATGTCTAATGAGATCCACAGCTTTGGGGGAGGAAGGATAGCTTAAAGACCCTAGTCAAAACAGGAAGACCCACCATTCAGAAGCCAGAGGCCCTAATCTGTGTCAGAAAGAGGTTTTGAGATCTTCTGGCCTAGGCCTCCTGGTGTCGGAGCTCCAGATTGAACCTTGAGGGGCCTCTGGGAGCACGGAGCAGAGCAGAGCAGAGCTGCGGCCCCTCATTCATGCTGAGCACTGAAGGTTTTGTTACATGCCAGTTTATCTCTATTGCTCTGTAGTCAGAGATCGGAGCAGTAGTCAGAGATAAAGGGACAGAATTGGTAACTTTGAATGACGGTCTCATTTCTGTTACCTAATACATATTTTATTCCAATTCACGGTGGTCCTGTTACTCCACTAAGAACTCTGTTAAAAGGAAAGTTCCAGTAAATGTCCTTGAATTTCAGTTTCTCCATATCTATAGTGACATCTGGTTTTATACTGCCACAAGAGATGTAACATACACTAATAATTACTATAGATAACAATTACTACAGGGTAATTACTCTGGGTCGGTCATGATGCTAGTAAGCACTTGAACATCATAAGTCTCACAGTTCCATTGAGGAAGGCCCTGTCTTCAGATTCATTTTATACAGGAGAAGCTGAGGCTCAGATAAGTTGAACCATTTGCCCAAGGTCACATAGCCAGTAAATAACCGAAGCAGGATTTGAACCCCAATGCCAAAGCCAGTGCTCTTAACCCTGAACCTTGCTACCTGCATACATTTCATTGATATGATGAGTTAGTGCAGGATCTGGAACAGTCATAAAATCAGCTCAGCATTCAGGCCTAGCTCCTGCCTCTGTCTACTCTACCAATGCCACAAGTTAGCGTGAGGAACTGGAGCCATCGTCGGCTCAGCATTCTGATCTTAAAGACCAATGTTTTGTCCTTTTTCTTTTTTTCTTTTTCTGGTGTGTTGCAGGAAGTTTCACGGCTATAACTCCCTGAAGGAATACTATGAGGAAGAAAGTTGCATGCGGTACCTGCACAGGGTGAGTGGCCATCACGGGCTCAGAATCAGCATCACTCCACCCAGCCTCGCACACAATACGACAGATACCTCTCCTGAATTTTCCTGGTGGAAGCTCAGCTGGAATCTGGCTCCAACCGCTCTTTTAGCTTGGATTTGTTTATTGAACCAGGCTCTGTCCCTCTGTAACTGCCATACATTAATCCCAGAGCTGCCCCTTAGACTGGTGTGCTCCCATGTCTGTGTGAGGGCCTTTAAAAGTGCTCCAACACCCACTTTTTTCTTAGTCTTCCTTTGACAGTATAATCCTGTCTGGTTTCTGCCAGATCAGTGAGATCTGTCTAGATTTCTTACCATCCGGGACCCTCTTTTGGCCATTCTGTATTTTGTTACCATAGTGCCTAAGACTGAACTCAAAATTCCTGCCATGATCTGGTAAGCACAGAGTAAAACTGATGTGTTTCTGTATCAAAGTAATGATGAGCATGTCTATTTTTTTCTTTTTTTTTTTTTTTTTTGAGATGGAGTCTCGCTCTGTCGCCCAGGCTGGAGTGCAGTGGCGCAATCTCTGCTCACTGCAATCTCCACCTTCCCAGGTTCAAGCAATTCTCCTGCCTCAGCCTCCTGAGTAGCTGGGATTACAGGCATGTGCCACCACGCCTGGCTAATTTTTGTATTTTTAGTAGAGATGGGGTTTCACCATGTTGGTCAGGCTGGTCTCCAACTCCTCACCTCGTGATCTGCCTGCCTCAGCCTCCCAAAATGCTGGGATTACAGGCGTGAGACACCATGCCCAGCTGAGATGTCTGTTGATAAGGTAGACTTGTTTGTATTAATGCAACTTTTAGCAGCTACAATAAACTTTGTGTGATTAAGTTTGTGGCCAACCAAAATCTCCATATGTTTGTTTTACCTGAATGACCAACAAGCCAGTCCCTCTCATTCTGTCTTTGCACAATTTATTGCCCTATTTATCCAAACACAGGACTTCCCATTTATCCTTGTCAATGTCCACCTGTAGGTTTGGCCCATCATTCCCCTGGCTAAAGCAGATCACTGGAAACTGTAGTTGTGCTGTCTTATCAGCCATCTCTCCTAGTTTAGCATCATCAGGCTTTTTGATGTCGTCATTTAAGCCATTGTAGGAATGTTGAGCTGTCTAGAGCCAACATCAGAGACCTACAGGATACCACAATCATTCACTGCCTCATTATGGCTGTTCAGTGACATCTGAGTCTCCCTATCAGTACCATCTCCACTAAAATGAAAAAGAAGGCTATTGGCTGTTTTAGTAAAGTGGATGTTGAATGCAACCCTGCCAACGGTTTTCCAATATCCACCAGCCTATTCCTGTTTTCAACCTTCAGATTCTTTTTCTTTTCTTTTTTTTTTTTTTTAAAGAGACAGGGTCTTGCTCTGTTTCCCAGGCTAGAGTGCGGTGGCATGATCATAGTTCACCACAGCTCTGAAATCCTGGCCTCAAGTGATCCTCCTGCCTCAGCTTCCTGAGTAGCTAGAACTATAGGCATAAGCCATAAGCCTGACCTAGATTCTTTTGATTTGTTCTATTTTTGTTTTTGTGTTTGTTTTAACAAATAGAGACTGGGCTGTGGGTCTCACTATGTTTCCCAGGCTGGTCTCAAACTTGTGGGCTCAAGCAGTCCTCCCACCTTGGCCTCCCAAAGTGCTGGGATTACAGGCACGAACCACTGTGCCCAGCCTTGGCCTAGATTCCTGTAGAATCTCTTTTGTCTGGTATGGAGTGCACTTCATTTTCCGCTCCCATGATATAAACTGAATGAATATGTACATAATTCATTGCAAAGTCATTTCCTAAAAGGAGTGGCTAATCTGAAACACTCTGATGATTATCAGGAAGCTTTCTTCTACACACTCCTGCTTTCAGGGCAGTAATCACAATGGCAGATGTAACTCATCACACTGCCAGAGAATACAAGGCGTCCTTCCTGTACCTGTTCAGCAAGCTGAGCTGTGACCCTCTTCCCTTTGCTTCAAAAACATGTCCAGCAGTGAGTTTGAGCCTTGAATCGATGGGGTCTGAAAATGGGAATCAGTAGTTTAATTCTGCTTTATGTTCTTGTTGCAGATTTATGTTCCTCTCATGCTGGTTAATGCAGCTGACGATCCGTTGGTGCATGAAAGTCTTCTAACCATTCCAAAATCTCTTTCAGGTAAGTGTTTCTTCCTGCTGCCCTCTCAACAGCTCAGCAAGTTGCCACAGTAAATTCTGTCACCTTCACCATGCTGTCATCTCCTGGAGACCACCCTCTTTAGGGAAAGACATCTCATAGCAGTCAGTGTTCTTATTCTGTGTAGCCTGATAGTCCTCGGGCTGTGATGGGGCTTGGGCATCAGGCCTCCCTCGTGTTCCTCCCAGGGCATGAGACAGGACCACCATGTATATCCATAGCCAGTAGGGCTTTGGGGAGTCACTTGAGGTTCTATGAGATTATCTCAGGGTTAGGGTTCCCCTAAGTTTGAAAGTTTGACATAAAGAGATATTTAGATTTAAAATTCGAGACTAGGTGTGTTGGCTCACACCTGTAATCCTAGCACTTTGTGAGGCTGCAATGGGAGGATCGCTTGAGGCCAGGAGTTCAACAGGAGCCTGGGCAATATAGTAAGACCCTATCTCTACAAAAAACTTAAAAATTAGCTGGGCATGGGGAGGCTGAGGCAGGAGAATGGCGTGAACCCGGGAGGCGGAGCTTGCAGTGAGCCGAGATCACGCCACTGCACTCCAGCCTGGGTGACAGAGTGAGACTCCGTCTCAAAAAAAAAAAAAAAAAAGAATTAGCTGGGCATGGTGGCACATACCTGTAGTCCTAGCTACTCAGGAGGCTGAGGCAGGAAGATCACTTGAGTCCAGAAGTTCGAGGCTGCAGCAAGCTATGATTGTGCCACTGCACTCCAGCCTGGGCAACAGAGCAAGATTCTGTCTCTAAAAATAAATAAATAGTAAAAAATAAAATAAAATTTGACTTGAAAAGCAAAACAAAAAATCCGGTTCTGCTATCTCTTGTGACAGCCTCTCCATCTGCTTGAAACATACAAATAGAAGCAACTGGGCCAAGTGTGGTGGCTCATGCCTATAAATCCCAGCACTTTGGGAGGCCGAGGTAGGCAGATCACTTGAGGTCAGGAGTTTGAGATCAGCCTGGCCAACATGGTGAAACCCCATCTCTACTAAAAATACAAAAATTAGCCAGGCGTGGTGGTACATGCTACTGGAGAGGCTGAGGCATGAGAATCGCTTGAACCCGAGAGTGGAGGTTGCAGTGAGCTGAGACTCTGTCCCAAAAAAATAAAAAATAAAGTCAAGCTCTAGGTTATTATTTCTCAGGATGGCCACTTAGCATGTGGCGTTGAGAGCTTGGGCATCTTTTAACACAACGTGCAGCTTTAAGGATCTTGAAGATAAATGTCTGTAGTGAAAACTCATTGACTCCATTGAATTCTCCTCGTTCTCTAGTAAAAATACTGTAAATGCCATGAATCGCTACTCAGAGCCTGGCCCCCACCACTACCATGGGCATCACCTGGGAACTTTTTAAAAATGCAGAATCTCAGCTCCCACTTCAGGCTTATTAAATCAAAATCCGCATTTTAATAAGATATCCTAAGTGATTTTGATGCACAAAGTTAGGAAACACATTGAATCACCTGGGGAGCTTGAGCAATACCAACACTTGGGAATTCCCTTCCCTCACTCCTCTCCCACCTCCCACCCCCAGAGATTCTGATTTAATTCATCTGGGCCAGCCTGGGGTTAAGGAGCTTTAAGAACTCCACAACTGATTCTAATATGCAGCCGAGTTTGAGAACCCTTTAGAGTTCTAAGGCTTTCTTCAGCTGGTGCCCATTCAGCTCCAAAGCCAAGCTGTACTCTAAAACCTGCTAGATGCCACTGTCTTGCCTGCCCCCTCTTTGGTGAACAAGGCAGAGTGAGTAGAGGTTGGATGCCCACTTAGGTGACCCTGCGGGGACAGCCAGGCTACCCTAGCCAGCTCACCTCTGCACCTCCTGTCCTGGAGCAAACTAGAGAACAGTAACTCACTCAGCTGCGTTTCCCCTGCAGAGAAACGAGAGAACGTCATGTTTGTGCTGCCTCTGCATGGGGGCCACTTGGGCTTCTTTGAGGGCTCTGTGCTGTTCCCCGAGCCCCTGACATGGATGGATAAGCTGGTGGTGGAGTACGCCAACGCCATTTGCCAATGGGAGCGTAACAAGTTGCAGTGCTCTGACACGGAGCAGGTGGAGGCCGACCTGGAGTGAGGCCTCCGGACTCTGGCACGCTCCAGCAGCCCTCCTCTGGAAGCTGCGTCCCCTCACCCCCTGTTTCAGGTCTCCCATCTCCCTCAGTGACCTGGATCTGACCTCACACCATCAGCAGGGGGCACCCACCATGCACACCTGTCTCGGAGTAGGCAGCTCTTCCTGGGAGCTCCAGGCTATTTTTGTGCTTAGTTACTGGTTTTCTCCATTGCATTGTTAGGCATGGTGACAAGTGACAGAGTTCTTGCCCTCTGTCCAGTTTCAGCATCTGGTTGCTTTTAAGCCAAGTACATCTAGTTTCCCTATTAAAAATGTGTCTGAATAGCGATTTTGCTTTGCCACCAAAAGGCTTTTCCCTGAGAACAGTGAAGGATGTATGTCATTTTGTGGTGGTTGTATGTGTCCTTACATAGACCTTAAAAAGAGCTCACCCTTCCAGGCCAATGCTGAAGACACAGCTCCGCTTGGGAGCCTGAGAACCCAGGCTTCCCAGGCCAGAGTGTGGCTTCTTAAACGGCAAAGGAAATTCCTTTGAGTCACAAGCCAAGTTTTCGCCCTGTCTCCTGAGACCATTTCCCTACGCTTTGCTGCTGCTGAGAGTTACGTGAGGCACTTGTTAAAAATTCAGCCTCCCAGGTCCCTCCCCTCGGAGAGGCTGATTCACTGGGTCTGGGAAGGAGCCTGGGGATTTTAATTTTTCACAAGTGCCCCAGATGATTCTCATCACCAAGCAAATTTTGGAAATGCTGTTCAACAGCGCCCTTAAATTGGAAACATCTTTGCAGCTCGTTTTATTGAAATTCATAATCAGGGGTGTCCTCTAGCTCCCACGGTCTCCAGAGCAGCAAGGCCGGCTATGGAGCTGCCGTCGTGTGACCACAGTGTGATGTCTCAGAAGGGCTCTGGGTGGGCTGAGCATCTGGGCTGTGCCCTGGCTCTGCTTTTCACCCTGGACAAAGTCGCTGTGGACTTCAATTTCTTCACCTCTAAAATGGGGGACTTGGACCAGGTAGATTGCTGAGCTCACTACCAGGTTCAAAGTTCAATGACAAACTCAGTTTACTGAGGTTTGAGAGAACATCCCTCCAGGGGAGCCTGGGAGCTGCTCTCCCAGTCTAAGCATGTAGATATCATCGTTTGCCTTTTGTGTGTGTGTGTCCCTTATTTGATAAAAAGATGTTTTGAGTTGTTTTTTTTTTAAGCACTCACTTGTAATTTTAGTTTTTAAACCCAAGTCCCTCTAACTTTGCCTTTGATACCAAACAATTCAAAAGTTGGATCTGAGTTTGGAGAAAGATATTTCCAACCTAAGTGGGTATTATTTTGAAACCAGATTTTTAATTTAATAGCCTATATTTGTAGTCTGTTGGATAGGTGTTTCCAAAGTGTGTCTTCTCAAGTGAAAACGCAACTCTAGGTTTCAAGTACTCCTTTTCTCCGATCCTGTGGTACTTGAATATCCAAAAACCCTGCACTTTGAACAATCAGCTGTTGCTATCTGGAACTAAACAGAACTATGAGTAAAATTGCCTGGATACTTTAAAAAGATATTTTTCCTCCTTCATCTCCTTTGACTCCAGGACAGACTGGAATATAAGTAGTGGGTCTGCATGGATGTTTCAGGGATCAAAGGAGCCACCTGGGCGCCTGAGTGCCAACCCTCAGGGCCACAGGTGGGTGTGGTTTGGGCACGGGTCCAAGTGACTGTGACGGGACCCGTGGGCATGGGTCCAGGTCTGTAACCTGAAGAAGTTGTTTTCTGACAATCACCAAATCATCCGAATGACATCAAAAGCAGCCCTTATCTCAGAGACTGAGATTTCTGTGGTCTCAACTTCGCTTTGGTATAATTTCTGGCACTCACCAGCCTCTATCATTATGACTTTCCCCCCAGTGTATTATTTCTCTAATAGGTTTCCTTTTCACGTTCTTTTAGCACAGACTGGCACTTTACCCTCTCAGTTTGGAAGTTAGCCCCTCTCCTCTGTTACTTTTCCCTTCACCCAACTACAGCTGTGATCTAGAACATTCATAGTCATATTTCTGCTACTACTACCTTCATTTATCAAGACTTTTTATGAGAATAGGTAAACCAAGCAATAACTTCCTAGGACTGAATCACCACCCCAGAAGAGCGAGAGGCTCCTTTCATATGCCTGAGGCCACACCCCTTAACCTGTTCTGACAAAATAGTGGCTGGCCCATGTACCAGCTCCATTCAGAAATTCAGGAAGAGAAAAGACAGCCCTGTTGTCACACAAACCGGTGTGGGGGAGGGTGGAGCCTGGTCTGCACGGCAGTCCTGGTGGCCCCTGTGGAGGACAGGCAGGGCTGGCAGCATAGCCTTTGTTGCCACACAACCGGAATTTGCTCCCCCAGGACTGTGGGAGCCAGTGTCCCAGCTGAAATCTTTTTAGTGTGTGGCTCTGAATGGCACTCACATTCCATTTTGGCTCACATGAAACTAACTGAAGCCCTTTGTTCAAGCTTCAGGCTCTTAGGCATGGAAATGAGAATGTGACTGTGGCTGTCTTACAGGAAAATTCTTGTTTGTCCCTGAATGAGAGCACAGAGGCATTGAATTCACAGAGCTGCAAACTTGCCTGATAAATGAGGGAGTGGCAGTTTATAGATAGGTCATCTTTTTTCCTTCCTCCAGGTGTCCTTGCCTTTCTTCCCAAAGTCATTCATTTCTGATGAGTATATGAATCCCCCTCTTGCTAGTAAGGTTCTATTTGGGCTAAAACAAGGCTGAATTTTTAAAGAGTATTTGAATATATTTTAGAATCAAATTGAGGCTATAAATTGCATCAATCTGGACAATTCCATTGCAGGAATAATATGTTAAAAACCAATGGGGAGAAGCACCCACATCTCTCCTGTAGCACTCCGTGTCTCATAAGCAATTTGAAGACACTTACAAGTAACTGATTCCAGTCAAATTAGGATTAACTGACTCAAAAAATGGTGTCAAGTTTCTTTAATGTTTTTATGTTAGAAGTGAGTTTAACAGACTTGAAGAAAACTGTTATCTTTTCCTGCTGTGAGTTTACACAAATGATTCCAGAGCAGAATGAAAGCAGAAAGCTGTTGGTTACAATATTCTTTTAACCTCTCTGCAGCATTTTACACTTACTGGGAACCTTATGATTCACCGTAAGAGTGGAAATATACCTGAGTTCGTGTCCTAATGGTCTCTAATTCACATTGGATCGTGGGCAAATCACCTCACCTCTCTGAGCCTGTTCCCTCCTCTTAGACCATCTCTAAGACCACTTCATCTATTTACACATCATTTGCTTGAACATTGCTGAACATCTGCGTGAACTTGGCCTCTCCAGCCCTTGCAGGTGGAAACAGCTGTGTCAAGGCTCAAGGCTCACGCTGAGGGGACTTGGAGGGAGGGGGCTTCTGCATTAAGCTTTCCTGGTGAAGACCCTTGATCTTGTCCAAAGCCCTGTGTCTTTGACTGGCTTCTCTTCAGAGTCCCCGTTGTCATCGTAAGACCCTTGCTGTTTGGAGGGTGGTCTTGTGACTGTGGCAGCTGCTGGCCGCTGGAATGAGGAGCCTATCTCCATCCTCCAGTGTGACTCAGGCAGAGCATTGAGAATTCCCAGGGCAGAAATCCTTCCTGCTCAGGCTTTCATTCTAAAACTACAGTCTTCATTAAAGCTGAACTTTCTGGGTAGCTGAGCTTATATGCCCGGCATCTGAATGAGAGCTCTCTTTGTAACTGTGTGACTTGAGATCTAGTTTGCCAGCTCCTGGGAAACAATACATGTGTTCTTGTTTGTGTTTGCTCAGCAAGCAGATGTCTGAGATGTAAGAAGCTTTTCTTTTCCTGTGGCATTGATTCTGACTTAGAGCTGAAGTAAAAGATCACTGAAACATCACGTCAAGTTGAAGTCACTCATAGGTCTTTGTCCTTTAGGCAGGACAGGAGAGTCATTAAGAAGCATTTCACTGTAGCATTCTATCACAATATCATCTGGAATTGTTTTCTTTGCCCAGAAAGCCTTAACTTGCCTCTAGAGAATCCCTGGTATTACAACGATATTGCGGCATTAGAATTCCAACTCTTCTGCTGTGGAAGTTTGAAGCGAAGCTGCAGCAAAACCAGAGAATTTCCTCAAGTGGCCTGTAGGCTCCTTGTTATCTTATGCCCCCACCCCTCCCTCAACAATATGAGTGATCCAGAACTGGCCCAAACACCTCAGCTCTGGTCCCTTTTTGCCCTTCTTGGCCTTACTCTGTTGTTCAAAGCCACTTTGGATTGCTTGGATGCTTCGAACAGCCATGAAAAGTAGCCTGCCTGTGGCATTTAGAGGCCAAGCAATTGACAGAAAGGGTTTCTTCTACCTCTGTTATCTAAGCAGAGGGAAGTAAACCTCTCACCGCCCCCCACCCCTCACTGCCCCCGATTACCCTAGAATTGCTTTCGCCAAATTGTAGTTGAAGCTAAGGAAGGGGAATCTGGCCCCTGCTGGGAGAGGGAACTGGAATGCCACACAAGGCAAGGCCTGCTTCCTTCCTTCCCCTCTGCTGCTGCTGCCTCGGAACGCTGCAGCCCAGGCTTCCTCCCACAGTGGCCCTTGGAAGCAGGCCGCAGAGTAGACAGCTGCTCCTTTTGGAAGAGTCAGTCCCCTGTGTTTTCTGAACTGTTTTTCCTAGCATGTATGTGGGTAGAGCTTTCATGCATCTCTAGTAATAATAAGCTGAAATTAGTTTTTTTTTTAATTCTCCAATTTAAAACTTTTAATTAAAAAGTAAATTTTAATGTCGAAAATGCAAACTTGGGGAGGGCAGAAAGATCACACACAAGGCTGTCACTTCATACTTGCAGGATTGCACAGCAGCCGGGCAGAGGCGCTCCTCACTTCCCAGATGGGGCGGCGGGCAGCAGAGACGCACCTCACTTCCTAGACAGTGCGGCAGCCAGGCACAGGCACACCTCACTTCCCAGACAGTTGGGCGGCCAGGCAAGCGCTCCTCACTTCCCAGATGGGGCGGCTCCCGGGAAGCGGGGCTCCTCACTTCCCAGACAGGGTGGCCAGGCAGAGGTGCTCCTCACTTCCCAGAACAATTCTTTATGAATTTGATAAAGGACTGAAGTGCAACTGAAAGCTGCTAGTGATGATCTGGTAATATACAATTTGTCCAGTAGCCAGTTTGTTTTTATTGTGTTTTCTAACCATAAGAGATCATTAAAGGCAAAGCCTGTATGACGCTGTACACACACAAAAAAATGGTCACCGCAGGCCATACTACCAATGAAATGGTAGGTAAACAAATCTTCTGGTCAAGAGAAAAAAAAAAGAAATAGCACTCTGCATGCTTTGCTCTACAAGACGAATTTCCCTAGAAAGAATCCAATGAAGGCCGGGCATAGTGGCTCACTCCTGTAATCCCAGCACTTTGGAGGCCGAGGCGGGTAGATCACCTGAGGTTAGGAGTTCAAGACCAGCCTGGCCAACATGGTGAAACCCCTTCTCTACTAAAAATGCAAAAATTAGCTGGGTGTGGTGGCGGGCGCCTGTAATCCCAGCTACTCGGGAGGCTGAGGTGGGAGAATTGCTTGAACCCAGGAGACGGAGGTTGCAGTGAGCCGAGATCACGCCTCTGCACTCCAGCCTGGGCAACAAGAGTGAGACTCCGTCTCCAAAAAAAGAAAAGGAATCCAGTGAAAATGGCTGCAATTACAACAAGAAGTGAAGGAAGAAGACTGGTGACATCTCTGAAGGATGCAGTTGAGGTTGATCCAGGTTTATCCGAATATGCTACCTTTCTGAGCCTTAAACCTTCATCTCTCAGGTGTTGATTTGCTTCTGATAGCTTCATCATTTCTCCCTGAAGTCTTTTACACTCTTCTGTTAGTTTCCTTGTTTCAGTATCATGAAGTGAAGCACTGTGTGGTTGTGGCGTGGGCCCGTCTTGCTTAGATGCATTCAGTGGGACAGCTTTGCTGGGTTCCATGTCATTCAATTTATCATTTTCATTGGGGATCTCCATTTGGAATCCATTAATTCATGAGGTTTTGCCTCATTCCACACAGCTTCCATATCTGAAGTGTTTAGTGGAGCAAAAATTGTACCATAAACTTGTGTTTACTCTTTTCATTCGGATCATAGTCAAAGGGCTGTAGCATTACTGAAACAGTCACAGTTGACCCTGGGTCAATAATTCCACTGTTGGGCCTCACACAGTACCGGTGAGGCACGGTAGTCTTCACTTTGAAACACACTTTTCTATCCGATGGATTTCGCAATTTAAGATTTGTAGTGACTACATCTGTGAAGGGGCCTTTGAATTTGAGGTCTATGGGCGGGTCGAGGACCAGGATCTGCTCGTGCTTCGCCGTGGCCCCGGAGGCAGACGCCATTGGAGAGACAGCGCAGAGCAGGGGGCGGCTTGCTCGCTGGGGGCGGGGGACGATGGCGAGAGGGGAGGGGGAGCGAGTTCGCATCTCTCCTTTTCCTGGTTAGACTCTGTTCAACCACATTCTTATGTTGGCAGATCTGCTTCCAGATTGATTTTTAGAGCACCATCACTTTCACATTCCTGATTCTGATTTTGTTTTGTTTTGTTTGGGTTTTCTGAAACTTAAAATGCTGCCCCGAAAATACTATATTTTTGAGTTTGTGTTCTGAAAGCCTCCGTGCTGCTGGATCTTTGGGGGGAAATACAGGATCCTTCAGCACTGAGGTGTTTAAGATTTGCAACTAGCAATGCAATTTTTTCTAAATATGGGGATATTTACCTTTATTAAGAAATTATACTAAACATTGATGTCCTTGATCATTTTATGTTCTCATATTACTTTTGATTCTACTATGATTGTGTGGTGGTGAACAAAGATCATTACAAACAAAAACTGTAATTTTGTTATATTTGATTCAATGGAATTTACCTAAAAAATAAAGACTAAAAATGTGGTGTGGCTATGTGTCCTTTGTATAGTGCCAGTTTTCCATCTGAAAGGATTCTTCCTGTGTCTTCACCAAAGTATGAGATTAATGGAAATACACAAAACCCCATTTTTGCACCACAATTGATGTTAGTCCATCCTTGCAAACAAATACCAAAACCTTGACCAGGCCACAAGTGTCTTCACAACCCCATCTTCTCCGGGCAAGAAAGCCAAGAACTAAAATAAGTGAAGTATCTCTTTTCTACTTTTTTAATTTTTTAGAGAGAGGTTCTTGCTCTGTGGCCCAGGCTGGAGTGCAGTGGCATGATCACAGCTCACTGCAGCCTTGACCTCTTGGGCTCAAGCAGTCCTCCTGCCTCAGCCTACCGAGTAGCTGGGACTACAGGGACTTGCCACTGCACCTGGCTAATTGTTTAGTTTTTAGTTTTTTGCTATGTTGCCCAGGCTGGTCTCAAACTTGAGTTCAAGTAGTCCTCCTGCCTTGGCCTACCAAAGTGTTGGGATTACAGTTGTAAGCCACCATGCCCAGCCTCAGTGTTTTAATCACTTCTTAAAGTGGATCATGAAGACAAAATACAAGGCAAGGTGTAAATGGTGCTTGCCGTGTGTGATTTGTATGCTTTTCCAATAATGTTCTTTGAAAAGAACAGGTGAGGCCGGGTGTGGTGCCTCACGCCTGTAATCCCAGCACTTTGGGAGGCCGAGGCGGGTGGATCACCTGAGGTCGGGAGTTCGAGACCAGCCTGACCAACATGGAGAAACCCTCTCTCTACTAAAAATACAAAATTAGCTGAGCGTGGTGGCGCATACCTGTAATCCCAGCTACTCAGTAGGCTGAGGCGGGAGAATCACTTGAACCCTGGAGGTGGTGGTTGTGGTGAGCCGAGATCACGCCACTGTACTCCAGCCTGGGCACAAGAGTGAAACTTCATCTCAAAAAAAAAAAAAAAAGACTAAGTGAACATTTCCTAAGTCAAGATTATATTGGGTTGGTTGGGTGCTGGTGGTGTTTTCTTCTTTGAATCTGTCTGAACCCAAGCTAAGGGTCTCCCAGGACCAAGCACTGGCTCAGCCAGGAGGGTTCTACCACCCCCAAGAGACACACAGCTCCCTTCCCTCCTTGGCCACACAAAACCTTCGTCAAGTTAGGCAGGGTGGGGAGTGTTAGCTTTAGAAGTTGTGCATTAACAAAACCTAAAAATGCCTAGTGGCAAATTTCAAAATTCTTCCCTCTCTGGTCAGCAAGCTTTCCCTCGATTCATATCCCCCACAATATAGCCAGACTATTTTGGCCCAAGAAAACCAACTTGCAAAGAATACTACCTATGAAAAGACTACATGGAAGAGATTTCAGGTCCAGGGCATTGGGGAGGTCAGTGCCAGCTGCATGCCAATGTGGTCAGGCAGGACCAGTAGCACACATAGCTGCCCTCTCCTGAGGCAGCCATACAGCATTTGTGTTCAGTGACACCTCACTCACTGCCCCAGTCATGCTACTTTTTATTTTACCTTTCATTAACTGGCCTCTCTGCTCTAGTCCTATAGGGAGTACTTTCCCTTGGTGAGGATCAAACACCTTACTGGATGGCCCTTCATATGACAGCCTCCCCTCCTCACTTCTCTCTTGGGTGTCTTTAGAGGGAGTTACATGAAAGTGCTACCATATATCAGAGTGGTTGAAAGACATGACGGGCAATTTGGCCTCGAACTGGTGAACCCCTCCCCAAAGGGGATAAAATTAAATACCTCTCTCCATGTGGCTTTGTGTCACCCACACCTTCCTTTTGAGTCATGCTATCTACCACATTTACCCCAGCATCTCTGCTGAAGACTGGTTTCCTCTTAAAGTCATTTCCTCCTCATCTGATGATAGTTGGTGAAATTAACCTGAAATATATGAAATTCTCATTTCATTGTTTCTTCTCCCTTCTGCCTGCACCTCTCCCATCCCCAGAAATAAGTGAAACAAACACTGGAGACAAAGCACGAGTAACAACAGAGCCAGAGAGATTTGGAGCCAGAGTTGCTGGGTCAGGGTCCCATCCTCGCCATTTCTAGCTCTTTGATCCTAAGCAGGATTTAACCTCGGATTGTTATTTATTTATTTATTTATTTATTTATTTAATTTACCTATGGGAATAATTATACTAAGAATGCCTACCTCAGGATAATTGAGAGGTTCAGATGATATTTTTCAGAGTGCTGATGTTACTTTGGACAGTGGTTTGGCTTGATCTGTTTTGTTCCCACTCATACATCATCTCCAAGGTAGAAACTACAAGCAAAGTGTCTGACATGGTCCAGCTCCACATCAAAGCGTCTAACTGATGGGCTGCGAGGAAAGCAGAGCCCGTCCTGGTTATAGTTTCCAAAAACATTCCTGGGCTCAGAAGTGCTGACGAGCCACGTTGTGTGCACCATCAAACTCTAATCCTTGTCTTTTCCTTCATATGTGGGCACCTTGAGAAATCAAGGTGTATACATGTCCTGCCTACTGGCAAGGCGACTTCCGGGCACAGCCCCACAGTGGAACTTGCTTATTCTGGGACATTTAGCCTGTCAGCTGCAGTCTTCCCACAGGGCTCCTGCAGCCTTCTTCTCTGTTCTCTGCTCACATGCAAGGTTTGCCTTTAAACCCACAGATATGAATACTTACTAGAGTGGGGGTTCCTCCATATCCTCACCTCCATATGTCAACATACAGGGTTTAAAGCAGTGCACATTTGAGCCACCTGCTGGGAGGTAGACAACCACGGTTTTGTAAGCATTGATTGCCTTCTCTCTCTCTCTCTCTCTCTCTCTCTCTCTCTCTCTCTCTCTCTCTCTCTCCTCTCTGACAGGGTCTCACTCTGTTGCCCATTATTAATAGGAGAGCAGTAGTGTGATCATGGCTCAGGCAGCCTCGAACTCCCAGACTCGAGATCCTCCTGCCTCAGCCTCTTTAGTAGCTAAAACTACACTGCATTTGGCTGATTTTTCCTTTTTTTTTTTTTTTTTTGTAGAAACAGGGTCTTGCTGTGTTGCCCAGGCTGGTATTGAACTCCTGGCCTTAAGCAATCCTCCCGCCTCAGCCTCCCAAAGTGCTGGGATTACAGGTGTGAGCTGCTGTGCCTGGCCTGATTGGTTGTTTAATGTGCAATCCTCTGGGGGTCTTGTTAAAAATGCAGATTCTGATGCAGCATGTCTGAGATGTGGCTCCCATGGGGAGCTCCAAGGTCCAGCCCTCCTTGGACCGCCCTTTGAGTAGTGAGGCTCCAGGAGATCCCACAAGCTTCCAGATTTGACAATTCTGAGCTTCCTCAACTCCAGAGCCAAACCCCTAACCGAAAGTGGGATCAGAGGCCAGGCATGGTGGCTCATGCCTGTAATTCCAGCACTTTGGGAGGCCGAGGTGGGAAGATCACCTAAGGTCAGGAGTTCGAGACCAGCCTGGCCAACATAGTGAAGCCCTGTCTCTACTAAAAATACAAAAATTGGCCGAGTGTGGTGGCATGCACCTGTAATCCGAGCTACTCGGGAGGCTGAGGCAGGAGAATCGCTTGAAGCTGGGAGGCAGAGGTTGCAGTGAGCCGAGATCACACCACTGCACTCCAGCCTGGGTGACAGAGTGAGACTCTGTCTCAAAAAAAGAGAAGAAAAAGAAAAAAAAAAAAGGGGGGGGGGGATCAGCAGTAGTCCACTTCACCTCTTTTCCTGCTAGCTTGAGTTAAGAGAAAGGTATACCTCTTCTAGTAAGGCTTTGCCAGGCCCCCAGGCAGCACTAACCTCCTCCACTTTCCCCTGGGTAAACCCGAGGCAGTGGCCAATCTCATTGAGAGGCTCTCTGAAGCTGGTGCCCGCTTCCTTCCTGAGACCTCCACCCACAGCTTGATGAATTGCCTCCAGACTCTGCTGTCTCCATTCTCCCAACGTCCACATTAGCATGGCAGAAATGCACTGCTGCAACCTTCCAACCCTCAAATTACTTTGATGAGGCAGAATCCCTGCCTTATCCCAGATGTCCCCAGAAAGTGTCGGGTGCGGTGGCGCATGCCTGTAATCCCAGCACTTCGGGAGGCCAAGGCGGGAGGCTAACCTAAGGTCAGGAGTTCAAGACCAGCCTGACCAATGCGGAGAAACCCTGTCTCTACTAAAAATACAAAATTATCTGGGCGTGGTGGCGCATGCCTGTAATCCCAGCTACTCAGGAGGCTGAGGCAGGAGTATCGCTTGAACTCGGGAAGTGCAGGTTGCGGTAAACTGAGATCTCACCATTGCACTCCAGCCTGGGCAACAAAAGCGAAACTCCGTCTCAAAAAAAAAAAAAAAAAAAAAAACAAACAAACAAACAAACAAAAAAAAAAATCAGATATCCCCAGAAAGGAAGTTGTTATGGGCACCAAATGGTTGTCATAAAATTCACGTTTTGTTGTCCCCCTTCCCATAGCTGGTGGCCTTCAAAAGAGTATTTTATTGTCTCTCTCCAATAATGTGGGGGCCATTTGTAGGAATCACACACACAGGCAGCTGGGATTTTGTGAAGCTGAGCACGTCAGATTTTAACATTGGTAGTCTTCAGACACGTTTTCCCAAAAGCGGCACCACCTTCTCAGGCAAGGTCTGGCCCAGCCCACCCAGCTAACCCTCCTGCCCAGCTTGTCCCTGGAGGGGCAGTGTCAGGGCACGGCCAGCAGGGGGCGGCGCGAGCACACATTCAGAGCCGGCTCGCGGGATTCCCAACCCCTATGGCTTCTTCCTCAGAAAGCCACTTGGTTTTCTTATCAGACGGGGTCCCTGGGCTAAGGCCCCAGCCCTGCTGACCTTAGGGACGACCCCAGCATCCCATTCGGGTTTGAGTAGGAGCTAGGGCTGCCCCAAGAGTCTTCTGCTCAGCATGTGCCTGATTTCATTTATATATTTAGAGCTGCCACAAATTCAGAGTGGACCTGGACTGTGTCCAGGAGGGCACCTGGCAGCTCGGGGCTCCGGGGAAGATGGGAGTCAGTGGATAGGGATCAACCAGTGTTTCCCTCAGATTTAGGACCCAGGTCTTAAGGAAAAATTAGAAGTATATCATGAAAACGTAAAAGATACCCATTCTTTTTTTCTTTCTTTTTTGAGACGGAGTCTCTCTCTGTCACCCAGGCTGGAGTGCAGTGGTGCGATCTCGGCTCACTGCAACCTCCGCCTCTCGGGTGCAAGCAGTTCTCCTGCCTCAGCCTCCCGAGTAGCTGGGATTACAGGTCCCTGCCACCATGCCTGGCTAATTTTTGTATTTTTAGTAGAGATGGGGTTTCACCATGTTGGCCAAGCTGGTCTCAAATCCTGACCTCAAGTGATCTGCCCACCTCAGCCTCCCAAAGTGCTGGGATTACAGGCATGAGTCACTGCGCCTGGCCAAAAATACCCATTCCTTTTAATTATTTAACTCAGCCTCATCACCACCCCCTTCCATCAACACCTCCACGCAGGTCACCAGTGCCCTCCACCTTGGCAAACACTAGTCTCTATTCCTTTCTCACATGACCCCAAAGCACCATTGACAGTTCTCGTACTTGAAATACCTTCTTAGCTCCAGATGTTCATAAGCGATCTCTCAGGGTGAGGCCCCTTCTACCAGAGCAGCTTCATTCTTTTTAGGTTGGTGTTGTGTTTTGTTTTGTTGATACAGGGTCTCCCTCTGTTGTCCAGGCTGGGGTGCAGTGGCACAACCATGGCTAACTGCAGCCTCGACCTCCTGGGCTCAGGTGATCCTCCCACCTCAGCCTCCTGAGTAGTGGGGACTACAGGCGTGCACCACCATGCCCAACTAATTTGTGTATTTTTTGTAGAGGTGGGTTTCACCATGTTGCCCAGGTTGGTCTCAAACTCCCACGTTCAAGCAATCCTCCTGCCTCGGCCTCCCAAAGTGCTGAGATTATAGGCATGAGCCACATGCCTGCCCTTTTTAGGTTTAAATACCAAGGTTCCATGTGAGATTTCATTTGCAAAAATGAAGCCTCAACTTTTGGGACAAAATCCTCACTGGTTGATCTCCTACCCTTCTGCCCATAATAATTTGCTGTGATTCCTCCTCCAGCCTAGGAGTCCTATGTAAATACCATTTTTGTTTTCATGGATTTTATGACCATGGCTTGTTGACTGTGAATGTTATAAAGAAGGAAGTTTCTTGGGTAATGAGCATACACTACAAACCCTAGGAGTGAGAGAAGAAAGTATGTAAGAAATAAGTGCATATATATATCTATTTATAAATATATATATATATACACCCACACACACACATATGTATACATTGACATATACATGAACATGTACACAGCCTCACTGAAAAGCAAGAAAGAGAACTCTCAGTGGATCAGAGAAATTCCCAAAGGTGTGAAAGCAGATAGGACTGAATTGAATCCAAAGTCCAGAAAACGGTTGGAATATCCTGGCCCAAAAGGTAGGTGCAGCACTAAGGGTGCTTGATACCCACAAAGAATGGGGGTGACCCTACAGGCAAGAGCAGACAAGTCTTGGGTTGATTGACTGGGATGCCTTGGTGGGAACAACAAGCCTCGCCTACTGCCACTAGCCAGCCAGCGTCTGCTTCCATGTGGGAAAATGAGTGTAGCATCTTGGAAAAAGTATCTGTCAATGCTCAGGAGACCCATGCCCAGAAGAAGCCAGCACTTACCCAAGAGGGAACAGCATGCTCAGCAAACAGGGCATCTAACAGGGATTCTCACCTACAGAAATGAGCACACACCTGAAAATCACCAAGCACTTGAGGAAAGCCAACTCCACAGAAGGAAAGCATTTGTATTTGTCAAAATATGCAGATTTGGGCCAGGCATGGTGGCTCACAACTATAATCCCAGCACCTTGAGAGGCTGAGGTGGAAGGATGGCTTGAAGCCAGGAGTTGGAGACCAGCCTGGGCAATAGAGCCAGACACTTACCTCTACAAAAAATATGTAAATATTAGCTGGGTGCAGTGGTATGCGCCTGTAGTCCCAGCTACTCAGTAGGCTGAGGCAGGAGGCTTGCTTGAGCCCAGGAGTTTGAGGTTGCAGTGAACTGTGATTGCACCACTGCACTCCAGCCTGGGTGACAAGTGAGACCCTGTCTCAAAAAAAAAAAAAAAAAAAATGCAGATTTGGAAAGTGTAAGTTCATCACCGTAAAATGCCTGAGAGTGAAGACAAAAAAAGAGCTTTAACTCTATAACTTGAGGACTGAGTGAGTGCTCAGAGAAGATGCCACTTATAATTCGAAGTAGAACTGTCCATCCAGGCAAGGGGACTGGAGGAGACAGCTTTTGGTGGAAAGACTCCTTCTCCCAGACAGATGGAGGGAACATGACTGCCACCCTGGAAAGAGGTCCAAGTTCCTGACCACCCCACACACGTCAGACTGCACCTCAGCAAGGGGAGGAGGCCACCCCTGAATGAAGCCACTTCCAGGCCTCTTCCACCCTGGAATTCTGTGTGGAAAACTCCCAGCCTGCCTAGAGGCCACCAGGACTGCTGCGTTTGCCAAATCATTTGAACATATATCCTCTCTCTTTTATCTTCTTTTATTGCATTTTGGGGGCGAATAGGGGGATATTTTAACCCGGGCTCCTTGCCTGTTTTCACAGACTCTAAGTCGTAAAACTCTGTTACAAAGGAAATGACTGAGAAAATGAATTCGAGTCTTTGAAATACAACCTTACACAAAAATCACTGTCTTAAAGCTTCAAGGGCAGGTGGAAATATAACTATCCCCAGTTCTTCTTGTTCAAGGGAATTCCCCCTCCTTTATTACCCATCCCCCAACTTGAGAACAGGGTGACACCTGAGCTCACTCGGGCTTAGGGAGTCTAAGGGGGGACCACAGTCATCTCAAGCAGCCCTTTCCTAGCCTTGGGTCCAGGACAGTTGAGGAGAGGCCCAGAGATTCTAACTACAGTTCAGCTGGCAGGAGATGTTTTCAGAAGGCTGTGTTCTCAGCTTGGGCCTGGGGGCCAAAGAGCTGCTCAGCAACGGCCTTGCCATCATACTTGGGCAGCGTGCCCCCGAAGTCAGAGGGCAGGATGTTCTCATCGATCTCCTGGTAGAAACCAGAAAGGTCATCCCCGTGGACAAAGACCTGCAGGGAAGCAAGGGAGACAGAACTGAGCAGGAGGAGGTGCCCTAAGGATGAGGGTTGAGGGAGGAAAGGGGCAGGAGGACAAAGCCCCATCATGTGCAGTCTTTGCCTGGCGACACCTCTCTCCGCAGGTCTCCATGTTGGGTGTCAGTGGGATCCACATAGCTCAGGACCATGGTAGAGTGTGAGGAGGGCTCAGGTGAGGCCCCACCCTCAGCCCTCTTGTCTCATTGTCTGGGCGGCCCACGTACTCACCCTCTCAAGCAGCTTGCTCTTCAAGAAGGGCTTGACCACATTGTAGGTCGTGGTGAAGTACCATGGCTGGTGGATGAAGTGGATGGCTTTGAACCGGGCTGGGAAGGAATCCTGCGGTGACAGAGAGATACCCCGTTCCCCATGGCCCCAGTGACCTCAGAGGCTCCCACTCATTCCCTGCTGCCTCTCCTCATGGCATAGAACAGACTTGTCCAGCATCACAGGGCTGCCCTGGAGAAGGGCCCACTGAAGGTCCTATTTCCAGGCCAGCAACTAGGGATCCCTGGCTCACTGTGGCCCAGACTGCACGGAGGAAGCCCCAAGATTCATAAGACCCAACCCTCTCCCTGCTGATGCAAATTAAACTGGGAATTAGGAAAAGAAATGAAAGTAGCCTTGCTTGACCTTTTGGTGAGTTTTTTCAAACCCACTTGCCTGCCGAAGGGACTGCAAACTATTACAAACGACAGGAACAGTATTATCATCCCTCATTGTCCATCAGCCCCTCCCACAACCTCCACCTCCCACCCCTCCTTTCCCAATACACAGAGCAGATCTAAGATGGCTCTAAGAAAGGACTCCTGACATGTCAGCACATATAGGAGTGAGTTATCAGAGGGTTAGTGATAATCCCTTTCTCGGGGTGAATCCACATTCAAAGAGAGGCAGTGCGACATATGTGGACAGACAACATGGGATTCCAGGTCAGAAGATGCAGGTTCAAGTCTGGCCTCTGCCGCTTTATTGCTGTGTGACCTCGAGATGTCTCTTAAATCTCTGAGCCTTCGTTTCCAGGTTTGAAAAATGAAGCAGGGAAGGAGGGAGAGAATGCTCTCAAGGAGTCGATGGAAGAATGAAAGGGAATACTTGGCAAACTGTCAATCACTATGCAGGTGCTTATGGTTGGGACTGTGGCTGTCACTGCTCTTTATGGCGCGAGGTGGTCCAACTTCTCAGTTCCCTGCAAGCACCATGAAAGGAGGCCCAGCCTCTCAGCCTCCCCAGCTGTGGGAGGCTGCCGTGCGACAGAACTCTAAGCCTCACCTGGAGCATGTCCACCATCTTCCTGAGATCTGAAGTCCGGAGACTAGCAGCCTGCTGCATGGTAAAGCCCTTGAAGTTCTCAATGATGCAGAAGCCATTGATTTGAGTTTCCTCATTCTCCAGCAGCTTCTCCAGGATGAAGCAATATGCCTGCAAGATCTTGGGCACAGAGAGAACAGGCTGTAAGATCTAACCCGCAACAATAATTAAGGCTTGAGGTCCTGAGGGGAGAGCTAATTGGTACATTCTTCACTGGGGTAATTTGCTGCAGGCTTTGATCTCGGACATTCCACTTCTGTGAATGTATACCAAGAAAACAAGTTCAAATGTCACATCCATGCTTAGAGGCCAGAAGGTTTATCCCAGTACTCTTGCAATAGTGGGAACATTGGAGACAACCTAAATGTCCAACAATGGGAACTGGTGAAATTATGGTACATTTATGCCATGGAATACTCTGGAACAATTAAAAACAATACAGAAGACTAATAATACAGGAAAATGTGCATGATATATTATTGTAGAATATAATCCCATTATTGTAAGAAAAATGTGTGGGCTGGGTGCGGTGGCTCACGCCTATAATCCCAGCACTTTGGGAGGCCGAGGCAGGTGGATCACCTGAGGTCAAGAATTCAAGACCAGCCTGGCCAACATGGTGAAACCCCATCTCAACTAAAAATACAAAAAAATCAGCTGAGCATGGTGGCAGGCACCTGTAATCCCAGCTACTTTGGGAGGCTGAGGCAGGAGAATCACTTGAACTTGAGAGGCAGAGGTTGCAGTGAGCCGAGATCACGCCACTGCTCTCCAACCTAGGCGACAAGAGCAAAACTGTGTCTCAAAAAAAAAAAAAAAAAGAAAAATGTGTGTGTGTGTGCGCGTGTGTGTGTGTGTGTATGTGCGTGCATACATGTATGAAAAGATTGGAAGGATGTCAATAGTAGAGCTCTCTAGGTAGTAGAATTGCAAATGATTTTAAATTTGTCTGTAATTTTTTTTTTGAGATGGAGTCTTGCTCTGTCACCCAGGCTGGAGTGCAGTGGTGCGATCTTGGCTCACTGCAACCTCTGCCTCACAGGTTCAAGCGATTCCCCTGCCTCAGTCTCCCAAGTAGCTGGGATTACAGGTGCCTGCCACCATGCCTGGCTAATTTTTGTATTTTTAGTAGAGACAGACAGGGTTTCACCATGTTGGCCAGGCTGGACTCGAACTCCTGACTTCAGGCAATCCACCCACCTTGGCCTCCCAAAGTGCTGGGATTACAGGCATGAGCCACTGCGCCCAGCCAATTTTTTGTATTTTCTAAAATGAGTAGATATCACTTACGTAATAAGAAAAAACATATATTTAAGTCTCTTCCTTAATACACACAGATAGGCAGGTGTGCATTTCAGTCCTACAGCCAGTGTCTTATTTGATGGGAAAACCCTAGAGGCATCCTTACTAAGATCAGGAATTAGATAAAGACTTCACCATCTCTGCCACCATTTAATTCTATATTGAAAGTACTAACCAATGCAATCAATTTGTTAAAAAAAAAAAAATCAGGGGCATAAGAAGTGGAAAGGGAGAAGAAAAACTATCTCCTCTACTTACAGATAGTATTATAGTATACTTAGAAAACCCCAGAGAATCCATTATAAAACTAACATAAATTTTAAAAGAGTTCAGTAAAATAGGGGGATATACAATTAAAAAACAAAAACAATAACCTTCATTTATACAAACAATAACCAACTAGAAGATATAATGGAAGAAAGAGCCCCATTTTTAGCAATGACAACAAAATTAATACCTAAGACAAATTTAATGAAAAATGTGCACAACGTTGTGAGGAAAAAATTTTTAAAACCTTTTTATTTTTCAGAAGCAGAGTCTCTCTCTGTCCCCCCAGATGAAGTGCAGTAGCACAGTCATAGCTTATGAAGAAATCTTTAAAACACTCCTGAAAACTCAAAAGTAGGCTTGAAGAAAACAGAAGGCATCTCACATTTGTGGATAGGACAACTGGCCAGGAATGTGACATTCTGAAAGAAGCCAGCTCTCCCCAAGCTTGTTATTTATGTTTAATATTATCCCCAAAACATACTCCTAATATTTCTCCTAAAGCTAGACAAATTAATTCTGAAGATCATAGGGGGAAATAAACATGCAAAAGTAGCTAGAAAAGCCCCCCAAAAAGCAGATCACTAAGGACAAAACTAGCCCTAACAGATTAAACATGCCACAAAATCTCTATCATCGAAACAGTATGATATTGGAGTATGAATAGATAAAGAGACCAATGGAACAGAATAGAAAGTCCAGAAATAGACCAAGCACATACGAAAATATAAAACATGATAAAGATGGCATTTCAAGTCATTGAAAAAAGATGGACTTTTTAATAAATTGTGTTGGCACAACTAGATAGCATTATCTAAAATTAGTTTGGGCCAGGTGCGGTGTCTTATGCCTGTAATCCCAGCACTTTGGGAGGCCGAGGTGGGCGGATCACTTGAGCTCAGGAGTTTGAGACCAGCCTGGCCAACATGGTGAAACCCCGTCTCTACTAAAAATACAAACATTAGCTGGGCATGGTGGCGTGCGTCTGTAATCCCAGCTACTTGGAAGGCTGAGGCTTGAGGATCGCTCGAACCCAGGAGGCGGAGGTTGCAGTGAGCTAAGATCATGCCACTGCACTCCAGCCTGGGTGACCAGAGCGAGACTCCATCTCAAAAATAAATAAATAAAATAAAATAAGTTTGTAGCAGTTTTTTTTTTAAATTAAAGGAATCTTTTTCAGGCTCAGTGGCGCATGCCAAAGTTCTCCCAAGACAAACCCTAATTCCCCAACTTGGGGCAGCCCCCTTAACGGCTCAGACAAGCAAAATTGCGTACACAATTTTGCGAGCACAAAGAACTCGGGCTCCTAAATAGATTGGAACCTGTGCTTTCCAGAATCTCTTCCAGCCTATAGTCCACTAATCCCTGTTCTCTCTGTTGCTCTCAGCATTTAGCATGTGGCAGGGCAGCCCCCAGCTCATGGCACACAGCTGTTACCCCCACTTGGCACTTGGCAGGGATACCCAGGAAGAGCCATGTATTATTGACCATCAAGCTCCACCTGCAAAGCTACTGGGTTTTCCAGCTGCCCTGGCACATCCTAGGAATTCTCTCCCTGCCTGGAAAGGGCTAGGTGGCAGGTGGCTGCCCACCTTTCCCCCTCTACAGACCTTGCCTCCTGGAGAACCAGGAATGAGGGCCCAGTAGAGGCCAGGGTTGAGGGAGGGAACCCAGCCCACAGGGTGGGAGCCAGGCGAGCCCCCACTAACCTCATCAAAGGTGATTTCTTGACTTTGCCAGTTCTCAATGTTGAAGAGCATGACCACTCGGCCATACTTGTCCCGACTAGAGAGGACACCAGGGTAGCCAGCTTCAATGGTGCAGCGGACAGCCTCTGGGGACAGGCTGTCAAAGAGCTCAGGGTACTGCAGCCGGAAATTCACATAGCCTGGAGGAAGGAGAGCAGAGGAACCCCCTCAGGGAGCCATCCCATCCCTACCCCATCCCTCCTAGTGGGACTCAGAGACCTGACCTCCTGCCAGGTCCTATGTGTGACCGAGCTGGCTACTCAACCTATCCGAGCCCCATGTTTCCTCTCCAAAAAATGGGATCTCGATATTGACCTATCTATTCTAGATAGTCTAGATAGTGGCCTATCTCACCAAATTGTTGTGGCAATCAAATGAGATTCAAGGTGTAAACATCATCATAAGCTTGGGCAAACATGAGGCATAGTCTTAAATATGAGGATAATCATTACTTGTTATTTTCTTCCCCATGGGGACAAGACACAGATTTTTCAGCTGGGCACAGGATAAGCTGAGTGGTGAGGTGTGCACAGGGCTGAGGAGAAGCTCCCAAGTAAAATCCAAACCCCAAGCAGGACACAGAGCTCCTGATTCCAGCAGCACCTCTACGGTCCACAAACACCATCCTTACCCATCCTGAGCAGTTCCCCACCTCTGTGGCCTGCACCACCAAATTTGAGCCCCTAGAGGACCTGGGCACCTCTGCCAAGAGACTGCCACATCAACTTGCTCACTGCTCTGGAACACTCTGGGCACCTCCCAACCCCTGGCCTTTGTCTTTGCTGTTGCCTCTGCCCTGGCTGCTCTTCCCCACAGATATCTCATTTCCTTCGGGTTTTTCTTCAAAATTCCCTTTGCACTGGGACTTCCCTGGCCACTTTATCTAAAACTTCAGCCCCTCAAGACTTTATATCCACCTCCTTAATTTCTTTCCTTATTCCTTACCATTATTTAACCCTATATAATTTTACTTTATTTATTGGATGTATTGTTTCCACCATTAGAATATGAGTTCCACCAGGGCAGGGAACTTGTCTGTTTTGTCTCCACTGCATCCCTTGGCCTAAAACAGTTCTTGGCACAGCATGGCCCTGAATTACCATTTGGAGAAGGAAGAAGTAGGAAAAGGAAAATCATTAGCCTGCAGAGGGCCCACTCAGACCCCATTTCCGTCCACCAGTGCCCAAGATTCGATTTCTTGAGGGAACCACCCCCTTTTTTTTTTTCTTTCTTTCTTTTTTGAGATAGAGTTTTGCTCTTGTTGCCCAGGCTGGAGTGCAATGGCACGATCTCAGCTCACCGCAACCTCTGCCTCCTGCGTTCAAGCGATTCTCCTGCTTCAGCCTCCCCAGTAGCTGAGATTACAGGCATGCGCCACCACGCCCGGCTAGTTTTGTATTTTTAGTAGAGATGGGGTTTCTCCACGTTGGTCAGGCTGGTCTCAAACCCCCGACTTCAGATGATCTGCCCGCCTTGGCCTCGCAAAGTGCTGGGATTACAGGCGTGAGCCACCGCAACCGGCCGATGATTTCTTGAGGCATCCTGTCTTCATCCAGCCAGCAGTGCCAGAGCGGTTCTGTCCCCGGGGTTCATTCCCAGGTCTGACACCATCTTCAGTTCCACTGCACATGAGGCTTAGGTAACTGCCCTGAGAGAGGCACTATCCACCTTCCTGCAGCATTCCAGAGCCAAAGCTTAGGTTCTCATGGTGGGGGTCTGGAGGGGAAATTCCTCCCCTCGTCACCCAAATGGGGTACCCAAGTTTTACTCATTGAATCCCAAGACTGGGAGAGAGTTGAGAGGACTCAGACCTCCAGAAATCTGCTCCTGACACACTTCATTCATTCATTCGTTCGCTCATTATCAGAGCTGACCCATTTTACAGGTAAGGATGTGGAGGCTCAGAGAAACTGACTTGCCCACAGTATGGAAGCAGGCCTGTTCAGTGCCAGGATGAGAGCGGATAGCATCCTCATGGCCTCCCGTCTTCCCAGGGCCGTCCCTCCAAGCACTGGCCTCACCTCTGAGCAGCTCATAGGCACGGCCCACGTTGAACTTCCGTGCGCGGATGAAGCGCAGGAAGAAGCCGCTGTCCTTCTCTTGCACCCTCTCCGCCACGGCCACCGCCAGCTCCTCCCCCGAGGCCGCCTGCGCCTGCACCATCTCCTGCAGCTCTCGCACTGCCTCCTCCCGGGTCTCCTCTCTCTCGTTCAGCTCATCCTTGGCCTAGAACAGGGTGGGGTGTGCATGAAGTTAAACTTAGGTGCGGGTGAGGGGCAGGACACACAGGTGATGAGTCTCCTGCCAGAGCTAGACCAGCCAAGGGGGCCCAGGGGTCTGCAGCCGCAGCTTTGCTTTTCTGCCCCAGGGGCAGCATCTGCACTGGCAACACCTGAGACTGTTGTGTGTGGAGAGAATTCGCATATTTGCAGAATATGGCCAACAGTCTAAAAGTTTCTAAAAATGACTGCCTACACTCACTGAGCCTTTGCCTAGCAACCTGCTAAGTCCTTTAAATGCACTGTGTTTTTTAATCTTTGCCACAGACCATCATGGTAGGTGTTCTTATCCCCAGCTCTCAGATGAGCAGACTGAGGCTCATAAAGGTGAAGATATTCTTGCTCAAGGTCACCCAGAGAGAAAGGAGTGGAGCTGGGACTCCTCTTTCCATCATTTCACTCTGCTGCCTCCCAGGCTTGATTCTGATTTTTTCAAAAACACGGCTCTCTGGCAGATGGCAGCCTGCCTCCTGCCCAGAGCCTCACATTCCTCCCCTCTGCTGGGTCAGGAGAACTCCTCCGTGCGCCTCAGGCAGCTCTCTCCTTGGACAGCATGAGGAGGGAAGGGAAAGGAGGGGGAGTAAAGTGTGAAGGAGCTAATAGCACCTTTCCCTTGAGATGCCCAAGGAAGCAGAGATGGAAGCTGGGTGCCCAGGCTCAGCTCAGCCACTTCTCATCCTCCCCAGCAGCCCTAAGACAGCTCTGTCAGCCTCCACAGAGCACAATCTGATCACCTCTGAGCTAGTCCACCAACCGTCTTTCATAGATACAGAAGGCAAGACCCAGAGATGGAAAGCAATCTGCCTAAGGTCACACAGCAAGCTGAAAGTAGGTCTGGTTCTGGAACTCAAGTCTCTTGCCTGTCTAGCAGGGGCAGCAGTTGGATCCTTGTTCCCCGGGGCCATTTCCAAACCAATGCTTCTCATATTGAGTCTAGTTTAGAGGGCCCTAGTTCCGAGGCTCTGGGCTGTAGTCTTGGGTTGGGCTGGCCTGGCTGGGTGTCTGGTCAACCCAGTTGCTGCCATAGCCGTGACCACCAGGAAGGACCTTAGAACCGGCCAGTCTATCAGGTCCAGGATGATCTGGAGTGCCGAGGCTGGACCCTTTTCACAGGAGAGAGAATGCAGTCATGTTCCCCTCATGTTGCCTCCCTAGGCTGCTCCTCTCCGCACTGTCAGCCACCTCACCTTCTGCAAGGTGTGGCGGGGCAGCTGGCTGCACGGGCCAAAGACAGGTCCATGGTCCTTGGTTGTGAGCTGCTCCAGTTGGGCACGGAGCTCCTGTTCCTCTTCAGGTACCATGCGGAACGTGCCCACCTGGGCAGAGAAAGGAAAAAGAGGAACAGCCAACCGCATCAGCCTGAGCCAGCCAGGGAAATGGGCCTGCTCAGACCTTCAGTTCTTTTGCCCAAGGTCATTGTTAAGCCTCCTCCTTTTGTGGGGTCAGGACCCACACAGGGGTTATAGAAGTGTGTGCCTATATTCCCGGGCAGAGCATAAGATAGAGAAGTAAGGAGGGAGGGAGAGGGAAGAGAGAGAAGAGAGGGAAGGTGGGTGGAGGAGAGCCCTGGAGGACAGGGTACTTACCCCTTCTGACATGTTGCCTATGGAAGACACAGAGTCCTTGGAAAAAGAAGGGATCTGCTTTCTCTGTCCTGGCCTCTCCAGCCGGCCCCTTCCCTAGGATAGGAAGTCAGGGCTGCAGGGGTTAGAAAAACCATTCTGTTATTGTCTCAGAACTGTGGATCTCAAACTTTCAATTGCATCAGAATCACCCGAGGCATTTGTTAGAAACGCAGGTGCCTGGGTCCCAACCTCCATGATTCTGACTCTGCAGGTGCAGGCTGTGGCCTAGGAACCTGCAATTTAAAGCACTTCCTGGTGGCTCTGAGGGAGATGGTTCTTGGGCTACACTTTGGGAAACACTGCTTGGACAAAGGGCACAGACACAAATAGCTCAGTCCTTAGATGTTAAAACAAGTTGGCCCTGCCAGGAAAAAAAGAATCTGGCTCTGTTCTCAATGACATGATCACTGCAGGATAAGGCAATCTCTCCTCCCTCCTGTGGCCATCCTTCTCCAGCCCGAAGGAGTCCCTCAGAAACTTCGCAGCCTAGTGGATGGCCCTTTCCCCAATGCATTCATTCTCAAGATGGGTGATGACCAGTTACATAAGTACATAATCACGAGACTGGAAGTGTGTTCTGTGCTTTGTGATGCACTAAGTACTTTCAAATCCACTCTCTCAGACCCAGGGTCAACATTATTATTTCCATTTTACATAGGAGGAAACGGGAGGAGGAATAAGTGACTTGTCCAAGGTAACACAGCCAAAAAATAGCCAGGGATCAGTACTCAGACCCAAGTTGTGACTTCCTGTCAGGACCAAGAGGCAGCCTGCTGTGGCGCAAAAGTTGGACCTGGGTTCAAGTTCTTCTCTTCCACTTGCAGGCTGTGAGATTTAACCCCAGTCTTGGTTGTTCCCTGTAAAGTAGGATGGAAGTGTTATGAAATGTAATGGACACATAAGCAATGCTTGGTTACCAGAACAGGTCCCATTCATGGCCCACATGACAACCTGCTTCCCCAGTGGGTATTTTTGGAGACAGCTCTTCTGTTTCCAGGTTTTCTCTCCTGCCTAAATGTCCTGCCTAAGTGCCTTCAAGAACCCTTCACCATCCTGCTCCTGCATGTGACCAGGTTCCATGGTCAGTTCAATCACCTAGTCACAGTTGGTAAGTGACAGAGTTGGGACTTGAACCTATGCCTGCCTGACACCAAGTCTTTTTTTGACACCTAGAGCCAAGACATCTGAAGACAAACTCCCTAGGAGAGCTGGCGTCATAGAAACCTTAAAGGTTAGGGAGACCTGGGTTTGAATCAGGCTTTGTCAGTTATGACTTGTGTGACCCTAGCAAGTTATTTAACCTTTCTGGGTCTCAGTTTCCTCATCTGCAAACTGAGGATAATAACAGTACCTACCAAAAAGAACTGTCGTGAAAACCATATAATTTCTGCAATGCTCCTGGCACAGTGTCCTGTTCTAAAGCATAGTTCCCCTTCTCTTTCTTAGCTCCATATTGATTATTACCCTAACTTGCACAAAGAGACTTGGAGGACCCCCATAGAGTATCGGAGGGTCCCCCATTTCCTGCTCTTTCCACTCCACACCCCCAGCAAGCACAGGGAAGTTCTGGGGGCCATAATCCACCCACAGGAACCAAATCTAAGCCACCTTTCTGGCTGGTAGACATCCAGGTATGTGGGCACAGAGGTAGACAGGCTGAAATGCTGCTGTGCTATCAGTTGGGTTTTGCTGGAACAGGAATGGAAATGGAGAGGCTGACAGAACTGCCCTGGGGAGCCCAGGCAAGAGGGACAGTGGCTGGACACCCCCAGCCAGTTGTGCAGACCATCAGAACAAGATCCTAGATTTTAGGAATACAGGGTTCAAGTCCGTGCGGCAACTCTTTTCTAAATATGCCCAAGCCATTAACTTTGAGTTTTAAAAATACTGATTTACAAGCTGTACACAATGAAAAAATGCCTATCCCTCACACCATGCTGATGCTGTTCCCTGCCATCTCAGATTACCAATTAAATACAGAATGCCCAGTTAAATGTGAACTTTTTTTTTTTTTTTTTTTTTGAGATGGAGTTTTGTTCTTGTCGCCCAGGCTAGAGTGCAATGGTGCGATCTCAGCTCACTGCAACCTCTGCCTCCCAGGTTCAAGCAATTCTCCTGCCTTAGCCTCCTGAGTAGCTGGAACTACAGGTGCCCACCAGCACGCCTGGCTAATTTTTGGTATTTTTAGTGGAGATGGGGTTTCACCATGTTGGCCAGGCTGGTCTCGAACTCCTGACCTCAGGTGATCTGCCTGCCTCGGCCTCCCAAAGTGCTGGGATTACAGGCGTGAGCCTAAATGTGAACTTTTTTAATACTAAAAAAGTATTTGCTGTTCATCTGAAATTCACATTTAACTGGGTGTCCTGTATTTTTATTTGCTAAATCTGCCATCAAATTGGTCTGGCTCAACCTGGAGAATGGCCAGGTGGTTTCAGTTTTACAGGCATCTTGGGACGTGGTCTCCCTGCTCCCCTGAGTCCTCACCCCAGTCCTGGGCTCCCTGGCCCAGGCAAGCCCCAGGTATTGACTTACCTGCCAGGTCGGCAGCTCCTCCTTGGGGCTACCTGGTACCTGAATGTCCTGGAGCTCTAGAGGTTCCCTCCGCTGGAGGCGTGGTCCGGTCAGCAGGTTGGGATTAGTGTGTCATAAGGAACTTCTCACCGCCCACAGTTTCCGTTAAATCGGGCTCACAGGAGGCCCTCAGTGGGGCAAAGGAAGACCCAGAGAGAAAGGGGAGAGGGGAGAGGCCTGGGCCTGGCTGGAGGCGCATCAAAGCCCTCCTTTGTGTGCTCCTGCTCTGGAGTTCCTGCTCGGCCATGTGGAAGCCCGGCTGTGGGGCTGGGATCTGGGCCAGTCCCATTCCCTCTTTTCTCTGCCCTCTTTCTCCTCAAGATCCCGGGGTGGGGTTGCTGAGAGAGCACCCCCCCCCCCCCACCACCACCACCAGGGTAATAAGAGGTGAAGGGAAATCGTAAATATGACTACATCTACAGTGGCAGCTCTGGCAAATCCAGGCCTATTGCCCACCCCTCCCCCAGCCAGCAGGACCTGGCATGGTAGTTTTCACCTCTGCAGTGAGTGGGGTCAGTTGAGAAATGTGGCTGGTTAAGGCCAAGCAGGGAGAGGACAAGACAGGCTGAGCCTCCTTCTGGGCAGTGTGGTGCAGTGGCATGCCCTGGAACCAGACTGCCCGCCTGTAAAGCCTCGCTCGAGCATCTTCTGGCCGGGAAACATGACTTCAAAACTCATCGGCTCAGTTTCCTCCTCTAAGAAGTGTAGAAAACTAGAGGACCAGGCTCATGACTTTAGTGCGGATGAAATGGCAGTAAAGTGCTTAGTTCAGGGGTTTAGCTGCCTGACAATAAGTCCTCTGGAAAGGTCAGTTACTCCAAATACAGTATCAATAGGTGCCTAACTGGAGGGAACTTATTATTCAATCCTTTGTACAGGAAGAAACCCCTCTGCAGCCTCTCAACAGGTAACTTCCCAGCCTCTGTTTTGCTATTCCACTGGATGAGGAGGAGGTAATTCCTGTAGAACATTTTCTGTCTAGGATTCCAAGGGCGGGAAGCTCCCTGTTTCCATTACTGGGGAGCTCTCCTTGTTTAAAACCTCATTGTTGGTTTGAGCCCCAAGCAGCTTCCTATAATGACCACCCTTGGTCCTGGTTTTGCCTCCTAGAGGTGCCCAGGAGAAGGTCAAGCTCCCCTGCACAGGTCGCTCTCCAGAATCCAACCCCAGAAGTGCTTTTTTATTTTCCCTGGACATAGTTCTTGCTTTTCCACCCATTCCTACTTTGGCAGGTTTGGGATTTCTTCCCACCACCCCATCTCCTGCCGACCCCTTCCTCCAGAGCAGGCTGCAATGCCTGGTGCTTAGATCTTGGGGTGCATTTGAGTCACCTTGAGCTCTTTGTTTCCAAAAGCCCTTTCCCTGGGCTCCTACTCTGGCTGCTGTCTGGGTCTTGGGCTGTTTCTGTCCCAAGTCCTCTGTGGAGCTGGGGATCCTTCATTTATGTCATTCTTCTTCCTGGTGGTCTAGTCCTATGCTGTCTTATATAGTAGCCGCTAGCCCCATGTAGCTTTTCAGCATTCGAAATGGGGTAATGCTAGAGATTGGGTCTCACTATAAAAAAAATTTTTATAAATAGGGTAATACGACCCAAGAACTAAATTTTTGTGGGAGTCTGGCAGGGGACAGAGTCTCGCTCTGTCACCCAGGCGGGAGTGCAGTGGTGCGATCTCAGCTTATTGCAACCTCCGCCTCCCAGGTGCAAGTGATTCTCATGCCTCAGCCTCCCAAGTAGCTGGGATTACAGGCACGCACCACCATGCCCGGCTAATTTTAGTATTTTTAGTAGAGACAGGGTTTCACATGTTGGCCAGGCTAGTCTCGAACTCCTGAGCTCAAGTGATCACCCCGCCTTGGCCTCCCAAAGTGCTGGGATTACAAGCGTGAGCCATTGTGCCCAGCCTTACATTTTTAATTTTATTTGATTTTAATTAACTTAAATTTAAATTTAAAAACTAATACTGGATTCAGTGTTTTGAAAACTTTTAAGTAGGTTTAGAACAATTTATATGTGTGATCCTATTTTTTTAACTGTAAATTTTGTGAAGTATTTCTCATAAGAATTTAGAGTCCCAAGTGAGATGTGCTATAAAGTATCTAAAGACTTAGTACAAACAAAATAATGTAAAATATCCCATTAACACTTTTTATAAGGCTTAATGTTCTGAAATTATCATCATCATGTTTGTTATATATTGGGTTAAAAATATATTAGAGCTTGTAATCCCAGCACTTTGGGAGGCCAAGGAGGGAGGACCACTTGAGGTCAGGAGTTTGAGACCAGCCTGGCCAACATGGTGAAACCTAGTCTCTGCAAAAAAACAAAAATTAGCTGGGCATGGTGGCAGGCACCTGTAATCCCATCTACTCAGGAGGCTGAGGTAGGAGGATTGCTTGAACCTTAGAGGTGAAGGTTGCAGTGAGCTGAGATCACACCGCTACACTCCAGCCTGGGTGATGGAGTGAGACTCCATCTCAAAAAAAAAATACACACACACACACACACACACACACACACACACACACACACAAGCTAATTTTTCCCATTTCTTTTTTTGAGACTGGGTTTTGTTCTCTCACCCTGGCTAGAGTGCAGTGGCATGATTATGGCTCACTGCGACCTCGATCTCCCTAGCTCAAGCCATCTTCCTCCCTCAGCCTCCTGAGCAGCTGAAACCACAGGAGTGCACCACCACATCCAACTAAAATTTTTTTTTTTTGAGACATAGTCTCGCTCTGTCACCCAGGCTACAGTGCAGTGGCACTATCTCAGCTCACTGCAACCTCTGCCTCCCGGGTTCAAGCAATTCTTCTGCCTCAGCCTCCTGAGTAGCTGGGATTACAGGTGCCCACCACCACACCCAGCTATTTGTGTTTTTAGTAGAGACTGGGTTTCACCATGTTGGCCGGGCTGGTTTTGAACTCCTGACCTCAGGTGATCCACCTGCCTCAGCCTCCCAAAGTGCTGGAATTACAGATATGAGCCACCATGCCCGGCCATATTTTGTTTGTTTGTTTTTTGTAGAGACAAGGTCTTACTCTGTTGCCCAGGCTGATCTCAAACTTCTGGACTCAAGCGATCATCCCACCTTGGCCTCCCAAATTACTGGGATTACAGACGTGAGCCACCAGGCCTAGCCCTGTTTCTTTTTTTTAGGGGTAGGCTCTCTCTCTGTCGCCCAGCCTGGAGTGCACTGGCATGATCATAGGTCACTGCAGCCTCCAACTCCTGGGCTCAGGCAATTCTCCTGCCTCAGCCCCTTGAGTAGCTAGGACTATCAGCAGGCGCTAACCTGCCCAACTGATTTTTTATTTATTTATTTATTTATTTTGAGATGGAGTCTTGCTCTGTCGCCCAGGCTGGAGTGCAGTGATGTGAACTCAGCTCACTGCAGCCTCCACCTCCTGGGTTCAAGCGATTCTCCTGCCTCAGCCTCCCGAGTAGCTGGGACTACAGGTGGGCACCACCGCGCCCAGCTAATTTTTGTATATATTTTTAGTAGAGACGGGGTTACACCATGTTGGCCAGGCTGGTCTCGAACTCCTGACCTCAAGTGAGCCGCCCGCCTCGGCCTCCTAAAGTGCTGGGATTACAGGCATGAGCCACCACGCCCGGCCTCAACTAATTTTTACAATTATTTTTTATAGAAATGGGGTCTCACTATGTTGCCCAGGCTGGACTCAAACTCTTGGTTTCAAGCTGTTCTCCTACCTTGGCTTCCCAAAGTGTTGTGATTACAGGCCTGAGCCATGGCACCTGGCCCACCTGTTTCTTTTTACTTTTCTTGATGTGATATTAGAAAATTTAGAATGACATCTATTTCTCATGGAGCGTGCTGGTCTAAACCTTGCTACTGCTCAGTGTGGTCTAGAAACCAGCAGCATTGGCCTTACCTGGCAGCCTGTGGGAAATGCAGAGTCTTGGGCCCTTCCCCAGAGAGGCCAAGTCAGAGCCTGGATTGGATTAGGGCCCATCCTAATGACCTCATTTTAACTTAATTACTTAAAATTACTTAATTTTTAGCCAGAACGGTGGCACAGCTCTGTAGTCTCAGCTACTGAGGAGGCTGAGGAAGGAGGATCTCTTGAGTCCAGGAATTCGAGGCTGTAGTAAGCTATGATTGTACCTGTGAACAGCCAGTACACTCCAGCCTGGGCAACACAGCGAAACCCTGACTCAAAAAAACCCAAAAATAAATAAATAAATAAATAAATAAATAAATAAATAATTAATTTTAATGGAGTTCACCAGGTATAATTCCCCCACGCATATAAAAGTTTGAAAAGCACTGCCCTAGAGAATGTCTCCCCTTCTGCTATTCCTGTCTGTGCCCAGCACAGTGGCTTGCCTGACCTGTCACTGCCACCAGCTGGGAGGTTTGGTGGGGAGTCAGACGGATGACTGCCCTCACCCACCATCCTCTTCCTCTTTGGGACAGGCAAGTGGAGGCTGGGTTGTGAGTGGAGGCAGAGAGGGAGGGTCTCCTGTCCTGATTCTAGGTCTGGCCCTGCCCAGTATGAGCCACTGACCCTCTTAGGCCTCAGTTGTTTCACCTGTAAGATGCTACATGGGCCAAACTGCATCTGTCCACTCCCCACCCACCCAATCCATATGTGGAAGCTCTAACCCCCAGGACCTCAGAATGTGACTGTTATTTACAGATTGTGCCTTTAAAGAGGCAATTAAGTTAAAATGAGGTCATTAGTGTGGGCCCTAATTCAATATGGCTGGTATCCTTATAAGAAGAGGACACAGACAGTTACAGTGGGAAGACCATGGGAAGACACAGGGAGAGAATGCCACCTACAAAGAAAGGAGAAAGGCCGCAGAGGATACTGATTCTGCCAACTCCTTGATCTCAGACTTGCAGCTTCCAGAACGGTGAGAAAACGAATTTCTGTTGTTTAAGCCACCCGGTCTATGGTACTTTGTGATGGCAGCCATAGCAAACGAATACAGATGGGATGATGGTTTTTTCCCCAGGTACTTCATAGAGTGTGAGGCTCCTTGGAGATAATGAGAATGAGAGCCCAGGCTGCCCCGTGGGAAGGAACCATGAGGGCTCAGAAGAGGCTCTGTCAATGCTGGGTGATAGACTCTGTCACAAAGAACATTCCTGTGCACCAAGAACACTTTTGAGTTAATGGCCCAGCCCTGATAGAAGTGGGCTGCACAGAACTTTTCGGGATACTAGCAGGCCACGAGGTCATTCTGGGGGAGCAGAGCTTTCTGCAGCATTATCTTCTGCTCACAGCCCTTCTAGTGCCTCTAATCTTCCCTCCTCCCTTCCCAAGAGTCACGCTCACGTCCAGCTCCCCTGGTGGGAACAATAGTGCCTCTGTGAGAGGAGATGCACCCTCATTGGCCCAGACACCTGTGCTGGCAACATTGGCAGACAACCATGGGCTCCCTGGCCTGCTGCCCTCTGCCTGGCTGAAGGCGGGGATGGGGATGACTTACATTTGTTGTGCCCCCTTTCTGTACCGTGGCCTGTGCCCTACCAGCCTTATCTCAGCCAACCCTTCCAGATGTGAGAGAGTATAATCCCCTTTTTCATAGACTAGGATACTGAGAGTCCGGGAGGTGAGGGGTCTTCCCAAAGCCACACAGCTGGTTAGAAATGGAGTCTCGGCCATTCTAAAGCCCTCTCAGCATTCAACACACAAGGCTCTCCCTCCTCAAGAAGCGAGATCAACACAGGGGTGTCTGCCCAGGGACTTCACACCTGCCCCCTGGCTCCTGGGGAAGGTGACATCATCTGACCCTCCCTGGGAGCAGTTCCAGTGGGCAAGAGTTTGGTCAATGCAATCCCTTCTTTGGTCAGTAATAATTATCCTGGGATAGGGAGGACCTTATGGAATCCTAGGCCTCAACCTTTCCTTTGAGAAGCGGGAAAACCCAAGTCCGGAAACATTCTGCACTTTCCTTAAAATTAAACATGGTAATGAGAGCGAGCAAGCAGTGTCTCTGACCCCTGGGGTGGGCAGACTCTTCGTGCTCTAAAAAGTTCCCTCCCTCTAGGAGGCACCGCTCATTCCACAAAGAGAGGCCTGCCTGTGTCAGGGGAAGAGTGGGAGGTGCTGGGAATGAGCAAGGAGGAGCTGAACAATACAGTCTATCAGGATGCTTGTTCCAAGAGGATTTCAGAATTAAGGTGTTTCCACGATCTGAGGAAAAATAAGCTTGCAAACACACACAAGTAAAAAGGAAGTGAAGATGGATCCATGGCTGATGCGAGGGATGGATAGATGGATAGATGTGATGAAGCAAGTAGAATAAAATATTTATGGTAGAATCTAAGTACTGGGTTTCTGGGATGTTAAATGTAAAAATCAAGAAGGCTTCTTCTTTTTTTTTTAGACAGAGTCTTGCTCTTTCATCCAGGCTGGAGTGCAGTGGTGCGATCTTGGCTCACTGCAACCTCTGCCTCCCAGGTTCAAGCAATTCTACTGCCTCGGCCTCCCGAGTAGCTGGGATTACAGGCACCCACCACCATGCCTGCCTAATTTTTGTATTTTTAGTAGAGTTGGGGTTTTACCATGTTGGCCAGGCTGCTCTCGAACTCCTGACCGAGGTGATCCACCCACCTTGGCCTCCCAAAGTGCTGGGATTACAGGTGTGAGTCACCACGCCCAGCCTCAAGAAGCCTTCTTTCTCTTATTTCACCATTCTTTCCCTTCCTCTCTTACCTTCCCTTTCCCATATTCTTTCAACCAACATGTATTGAGTAGCTATTATATATTAGGCACTGTGCATCCAGAGATAAATAAAATACTGTCTCTGCCTTAAGCAGCCCACAGTTTAGAAGGGGAGAGGCCTGCACAAAATAATTATAAAATAGGGCAAGTTCTACGACAAGACAAAGGTTCTGAAATGATCTATGTGGTAGTGCCAAAAAATGCTCCACAAAAATGGGGAGTTGTTCTTTGGTTAATTAAGTTTGAGAAATGTTACAAATTATATTGGAAGTTACTAATGAAAGTAAGCAATGCAAAGGCTCTGAGAAGTCCTGTAGCAAAGAAATCTAGAAAACCAGTTTAGGCTGGGCACAATGGCTCACACCTTCAATCCCAGCACTTTGTGGGGCTGAGATGGGAGAATTGACAGCCTGAGAGTTTCAGACCAGCCTGGTCAACATAATGAGACCCTGTCTCTAAAAAAATAAAATAAATACCTCGATGTTGTGGTTTGCACCTGTGGTCCCAGCTACTTAGGAGGCCAAGGCAGAAGGATTGCTTGAGCCCAGGAGGTCAAGGCTGCAGTGAACTATGATCTTGCCACTGCAGTCTAGCCTGGGTGACAAAGTGAGACCCTCTCTCAAGAAAAGAAACAAAAAACCAGTTTAACTCAGCATTTCCCAAATTTATGAGCCAGTGCAACCCTTTCATGAACAACTTTGGAACCATTGTTTCTCTGAACATGCTTGGGAATCACTGATAGCTGTGGTCTGTGGAAAGAATCTAGGAGAAGCTTGGAGGGAGAAGACAGCTCTGCTAGGGGGAATTAGGAAGGGCTTCCTAAAGAAAGTGATTTTCAAACTAACAAAAGAGCAAAAGTTTCACCAGGGAGACAATGTGGAGAAATGGAGTAGGTGTCCCTGAAAAGGACTCCCAGACAGTAAACAGCACATTTAAAAAATATGGAAAAGTAGGAGTTTGGGTGGTTTGGAGAATTGCAACTATGTAGTATAGTTGGAGCCTAGGGTTTGGGTAGGAGATAAGTGAAAAGATGAAGGCAGTGGCCAGATCCTTTAGGCCCTAAGATGCTATGTTCCACAATTCAAAGAATTCTGTTTCAATGTAAATATAAAATAAAATTTGTTGAGCACCTACTATGTACCAGGCCCTATGCCAGGTACTGGGGAAATGTTGCTTTATAAGACAGGGAGTCTTATAAGGGAGTGCCAAGTGCTATAGGGAGGTCGAGACGGGATTAAACCTGTCCACAGGATTTAAAAACAAGAAGGCGGCTGGGCACGGTGGCTCACGCCTGTAATCCCAGCACTTTGGGAGGCCAAGGCTGGTGGATCACCTGAGGTCAGGAGTGTGAGACCAGCCTGGCCAGCAAGGTGAAACCCCATCTCTACTAAAAATACAAAAATTAGCTGGGCGTGAGATGGGAGGATTGACAGCCTAAGAGTTTCAGACCAGCCTGGTCAACATAGTGAGACCCTGTCTCTAAAAAAATAGAAAAAATAACTTGATGTCGTGGCTTGCACCTGTGGTCCCAGCTACTTAGGAGGCCGAGGCAGAAGGATTGCTTGAGCCCAGGAGGTCACAGAAGGGAGTGCCAAGTGCTCCCGCCACAGGTGCCTGTAATCCCAGCTACTCAGGAGGCTGAGGCAGGAGAACTGCTTGAACCTGGGAGGTGGAGGTTGCAGTGAGCCGAGATCGCACCACTGCACTCCAGCCTGGGCGACAGAGCGAGACTCCATCTAAAACAAACAGACAAACAAAAACAAAAAACCAAGAAAGCTGCCATGATCTTGGCCACAGCTGTTTTGGTGAATTACCAGAGGTAAGAGAACGGCAGAGGAATGAATAGGAGATACAGAAACACAGAGAAAGACAATAGATGGCTCCTTCAAGAAATCTGGCTGAAAGCAGGTGAGAAAGAGGGCAGTAACTGTAAGGGAAGGGGGGCTCCAGGGGGTTGTTTTGTTTAGATGGATGGGGAAGACTTTTCTATCTCCTCCTTTATTCTCCATAGATGATCTCACTACTTCAAGGGGGCTAAAAATAGGTGCCCTTAGATGGGAACTTGGTTTTAACTCCTCACCACCAAAGGAGAAGATGTGTTTATGAAAGGGCAGCTGTAGAAAGTTAGAGGTTAAAGACCAAGGTCTGAGAGGGGTGATAGTAAGGTCCTCGCTGAGAGGTGGAAACCTTAAGCAGCTGTCTCTGTCTCTCCAGCAGAGGGACCAGCCTCGGCCGGGAAGGTGGAACACCCTCCACTGTTACAGGGAGCTGGAGGAAAGAACTAGTGCTGAGGACACTGAGTTTAAAGACTTGACGGTGGGGAGCTAATGCAAATTTCCATCTGAGGGCAATTATTTTTTTCTCTCTTTTTTGGGGGTGTGGGGGCGGGTCAAGTACAACTTCATGAAGAAAGGAAGGATAAACTTACTGGGGAAGATTATCTGACAGTGCTGAAGGCCCACCTGAGACTGGGGCACCCACTTAAACACACGTTACTTCTCAAGCACAATCCAGCAGCTGAAGTATAGCTCCAACAAGAGAATAGAGCTGGCTTCATACAGGGTTAGGGTTTGCTGAGTGAATGGGATGGAAAGAAAGGCAAAAGGGGGCAAAAGATAGGAGCAGTCGCTTATGCCTGTAATCCCAGTAATTTAGGAGGCTGAGGTGGGAGGATTGCTTGAGTCCAGGCATTTGAGACCAACCTGGGTAACATAGCAAGACCCCTTCTCTACAAAAAGTAAAATTAGCTGGGTGTGGTGGTGCGTGCCTATAGTCCCAGCTACTCAGGAAGCTGAGGTGGGAGGATTGTTTAAGCCTGGGAGGTTGAGGCTACAGTGAGTCATGATTACCCCACTGCACTCAGCCTGGGCAACAGTGAGACCATCTCAAAACAAATAAATGAATAGGCCAGGCACGGTGGCTCATGCCTGTAATCCCAGCACTTTGGGAGGTCGAGGCAGGCAGATCATGAGGTCAGGAGTTTGGGACCAGCGTAGCCAACATGGTGAAACCCCGTCTCTACTAAAAATACAAAAATTAGCCAAGCGTGGTGGTGGGCACCTGTAATCCCAGCTACTCGAGAGGCTGAGGCAGGTGAATCGCTTCAACTGGGGAGGTGGAGGTTGCAGTGAGCTGAGATTGAGCCACTGCACTCCAGCCTGGGCAGCAGAGTGAGACTCTATCTCAAAAACACAAAAAACAAAAACAAATGAACAAACAAAAACGGCCAGGTGCAGTGGCTCATGCCTGTAATCCCAGCACTCTGGGAGGCCAAGGCGGGCAAATCATGATGTCAGGAGATTGAGACCATCCTGGCTAACATGGTGAAACCCTGTCTCTACTAAAAATACAAAAAAATTAGCTGGGTGTGGTGGCATGCTCCTGTAGTCCTAGCTACTCGGGAGGCTGAGGCAGGAGAATCGCTTGAACCTGGGAGGCGGAGGTTGCAGTGAGTCAAGATCGCGCCACTGCACTCCAGCCTGGGCAACAGAGCGAGACTCTGTCTCAAAAAAAAAAAACAAACAACCCAAAAAATATAAATAAATGAATAAATACATAAATAAATAAATATTGCAAAAATGTGGTTTAACTATATAACCTTGGAATTGAAGATGAGGAGTCAGAGGCAGTGAAGATTAGAGAACAGGTAGGTGAGAGTAGTTGAGCAGGCTAATTGGATGGTTGAGAGGTTGCTATCTAAGTAGTGATTTGGGAGGTGGCTTGGGGTATGACCAGGAGAGTGAGTGGCTGAGGTGACATGGAGGAGAAAGTCATGGAGGTGGAGAGGGGAGTGGCCAAGAGGCCACATGTAGGATGAGAATGATCTAGGATGACAGCAGAATAGGGGCAAAGTAGAAGATGGAGAACAGGTATCCACCTCTCCACAGAAAAGGGCTGAGATGGCATCTCAAAGGCCCAGTTTGCTGATTATTTATAGACCAGAGAGGTCCACTAGATTTGCAAATGGGCCAGTATTTTTTTAACTTTTTATTTTGACATAATTTCAGATTTACAGAAAAGCTGCAAGAATGGTGCACAGAATTCCCACATGCCTTTCACCTAGATGTTAACACTTCATGTTTGCTCTTTCATTCTCTCAATATATCCAAGTGTATTTTTTTCTAAACTGTTTTAGCATTAAGTTGCAGACATGATGCCCTTCTACTCCTAAATACTTCAGCGTGGACTTCCTAAAAACAGGGACATTCTCTGCTTTGATCTGAATGCTTGTGGTTCCCCTAAATTCATACACTGAAATCCCAAGCCCCAAAGAGATAGTATTAGGAGGCAGGGGTTTGGGATTAGTGTCTTTATAATAGAGCACCTGAGAGCTGCCTTGCACCTTCCACCTTGCAAGGACACAGCAAAAAGGTGCCATCCATGGGAAAGTGGCCTTCACCAGATACCAACACTGCTGGTGTCTTGATCTTGAACTTCCCAGCCTCCAGAACTGTAAGAAATAAATTTCTGTTGTTTAGAAGCCACCCAGTCCATGGTATTTGGTTATTGCAGCCTGAATGGACTAAGATTCTCTTAATTAATCATGGTGCAATTATCAAAATCAAGAATTGAACAGAGCCGAGATTGTGCCACTGCACTTCAGCCTGGGTGACACAGTGAGACTCCATCTCAAAAAAAATAAAAAATAAAAAATAAACAAAAATGGCCGGGTGCAGTGGCTCACGCCTGTAATCCCAGCACTCTGGGAGGCCGAGGCGGGCAAATCTTGAGGTCAGGAGATTGAGGCCATCCTGGCTAACACAGTGAAATCCCATCTCTACTAAATATACAAAAAAATTGAACAGTAACACCATTGGATAATCTATACGATTTAATCAAATATTGCCAATTGTAAGGGGCCAGTTTTTATGTATTACTTTCCACCCTGCTTCTTTTCCTTTCTCCTTTTATTCCTCTTCTCTTCCAGGCCTTTGAGAAACAGGGAACAGATTGGGAGAAAAGAGCTAACACTTTTGTGTTTGTTTTGAACTTTCTATTTTCAAATGATTGCAAATTCACAGGGAGCTTAAAAGAAACAATATATCTTTTATGTCAAAATTTGGGTTTTGAAATTTCACGTTTCATTGAGATAATTTAAACCCATATTTTTCTAAGGCTATACTAATGATTTTGCATCCATTTAGCAAATACTTATGAAGCATGGCCAGGCGCGGTGGCTCACGCCTGTAATCTCAGCACTTTGAGAGGCCAAGGCAGGTGGATCACGAGGTCAAGAGATTGAGACCATCCTGGCCAACATGGTGAAACCCCATCTCTACTAAAAAATAGAAAAATTAGCTGGGCTTGGTGGCATGCACCTGTAGTCCCAGCTACTCAGGAGGCTGAGGCAGGAGAATGCTTGAACCTGGGAGGTGGAGGTTGCACTGAGCCGAGATCACGCCACTGCACTCCAGCCTGGTGACCGAGCGAGATTCCGTCTCTGCCGAGACCAGCTCAGTCATGGAGACCCTAACCCAGTGGTGCTAGAGGAATTAAAGACACACACACAGAAATATACAGTGCGGAGTGGGAAATCAGGGGGCTGACAGCCTTCAGAGCTGACAGCCCCGAACAGAGTTTGACCCACATATTTATTGACAGCATACCAGTGACAAGCATTATTTCTATAGATTATAGATTAACTAAAAGTATTCCTTATGGGAAATAAAGGGATGGGCCAAAACAAAGGGGTGGGCTCTGGCTAGTTATCTGCAGCAGGAACATGTCCTTAAGGCACAGACCACTCATACTATTGCTTGTGGTTTAGGAACGCCTTTAAGTGGTTTTCTGCCCTGGGTGGACCAGGTATTGCTTGCCCTCATTCCAGTAAACCCACAACCTTCAGCGTGGGCATCATGGCCATCACAAGCATGTCACAGTGCTGCAGAGATTTTGTTTATGGCCAGTTTTGGGGCCAGTTTATGGCCAGATTTGGGGGCCTGTTCCCAACATATTCCCCCTTGTTGCTTTTGCAAGATGATAAAAGCAAAGGCAGCTTTATCACGGTGAGCTACTTCTCACAGGAATCGGAATCTGCATCTGCAGACTATACAGAGACAAACTACATGGATTAAAAGCACAATCATCATTGAAATCACAGAGCTTCCAAGTATTTTTATCTATTTTAATGGGTTACTTGCTGCTAATCCGTTGGTAGCTCCTTCAAGCACTCCAGTTCCTGGTATTAAGGTCAGGTGTGCCTAGGATGCTTTAAATATTTGTTCTTTTAATTTTGCAATATCCAAAGACAAGTTTGTAGAGTGTCCTTCTAGATACTTTTTTATTCTTTCCCACATTTTGATCTTATTAAAAGCCATTAATAGTTTCCACAAATCCTTATGTTTAGCTCCTACAGTGGGCCATATCATTTGAGGCTGAGGTGGTACTATACCACCATGTTTCCAGATAATAGGAACTCTTGCTGTATTTCTTACCATTTCTACCATCTGACCATTTTGTTTAGACCAGCTGAACATAGTGTGGCTGTGGCATGCAGACTGAGAAGTGCAATTCAAGCTAAACATCCCCTTATTACCAATCAATAATGATTCCATAGGAATCATTGTGCAGCGCCTCTGCCTGTTCTGCAATGCAATCTTCCCAAACAAGTACATTAATTATTTCTGGCCAGGTCCAATTCTGTTTACAAATAGGTTTTTGAGGGCGGTATGCCTCAATTATAGGAGCCAATTTATTATGGTAAATACTGAGATCAGAAAGCATGTGTAACTATGTCATAGAGTGATTACATCCAGGCATTACTGCCAGCCAAGATTGATAAATATGCCCAATAAGTATAATTGTTCTCTGTGTCAGTCCTTGTTGAAGGAATACTCATGGCAATGGTGATCACCGCTATCATAAAATTACTCATTGTGACTGGCTGTCCCGCTTTCCTCAGGTTTTCGTCCACCATCTGTGACAGCTTCTTGATCTGTCCCCAGGTAGGTGGCTCAGTTCAACAGGTGTTGCTCGTGACAGTTGGGGTCCTCCTCAGCATCAGTCTTGACATGGCTGCAACCAGGGGATCCTCGGGATCCTCCCGGAATCTCTTCCTCGGCATCTGGCTCATGATAAGGTTTCAGGTGTCTTGATGATATCCAACTTGGCTATTGATTCTGGCCTGGAGAAACACAAGCATAACCTCTACCCCAAGTTATTATTTTACCTATTTCCAAATTTTTTGTTATCGGATCTCTTCACCAAACCAGTTGTTCTGCTTCTGTCTTTGTAGCTGGTTTCTGTAGATGCTGTTCAGCTGCTGATAGCATCTGGCTTTTAGGCAGGCTCAAAAAATTTAAAGTCCATAATGCTAGAGTCAATTGCATATGGGGTATTCCGTAGTCCCTGTTTCCATCAGTCTGCTTTTGCAATTGTCGTTTCAGGGAGAGATTCGTTCTTTCTACTATGGCTTCTCCTCAAGAATTATATGGGATGCCAGTAATGTGTTTAATATTCTATATAGAGAAAAATGTAGCTAGAGCTTGGCGAGTATAGCCTGGGGCATTATCTGTTTTAATAGAAGCTGGAATGCCCATCACTGCAAAACACTGCAAAAGGTGACATTTAACACAGGCAGAAGACTCTCCTGATTGGCATGTAGCCCAGACAAAGTGAGAAAAGGTGTCCACACATACATGTACATAAGCTAGTCTCCCAAAGGAGGGAACATGTGTGACTTCCATTTGCCAAAGAGAATTAGGTTCCAATCCTCAAGGATTAACTCCTCCTATGCAAGATGAGGAATGTACCATTTGGCAAGTTGGGCATCATTGGATAATAGCTTTAGCTTCTTTCCAGGTAATGCTGTATCTGCGTTTGAGACCAGAGGCATTAACATGGGTTAAATTGTGACAGTGTCTAGCATTAGATATTGCAGTAGCAACTAAGTGATCAGCCATTTGATTCCCTTCAGTTAAAGGTCCTGGAAGAGGTGTATGAGCCCTAATGTGAGTGATGTAAAAAGGGTGCATTCTACTCCTAACTGCTGTTTGTAATTGGGTAAATAAAGTCATCAGTTGCTCATCTGTATGAAATCGTAACTGAGCATTTTCAATTAATTGTGTGGAATGAACCACGTGTGAAGAATCAGAAATCACATTAATAGGCATATCAAAAGCAGTCAATACCTCAATTACAGCTACAAGCTTGACTTTTTGAGCTGAAGTATAGGGCGTCTGAAAAACTTTACCTTTTGAGCCAGAATAAGAAGCTTTACCATTGCTAGACCCATCTGTGAAGACATTTTCAGCACTTTCAATTGGTTTAAATTACTTATTTTAGGGAAAATCCAATTAGTTACTTTCAAAAATTGAAATAATTTTGTTTTCAGAAAATGATTATCAAGAACACCCATGAAATCAGCTAAATGAGTTTGCCAAGTAAGACTATTTATAAAAGTTTGCTGGCCAGGCGCGGTGGCTCACGCCTGTTATCCCAGCACTTTGGGAGGCTGAGGTGGGCGGATCACGAGGTCAGGAGATTGACACCATCCTGGCTAACACAGTGAAACCCCGTCTCTACTAAAAATACAAAAAAAAAAAAAAAAAAATAGCTGGGTATGGTGGCGGGCACCTGTAGTCCCAGCTACTCGGGAGGCTGAGGCAGGAGAATGGCGTGAACCTGGGAGGCGGAGCTTGCAGTGAGCCGAGATTGCACCACTGCACTCCAGCCTGGGTGATAGAGTGAGACTCCGTCTCAAAAAAAAAAAAAGTTTGCTGTATTTGTGCCTTTGTGAGAGGGACAATAACTTTTCCAGGATCATATCCATGTAATTTAACAACCTGAGTTCTCCCATTTCCTATCATAGTAGCAATTTGATCCAAATAAGGAGTTAGAGTCCATGAATTAGTATGTGGAAGACAAAGCCATTCTACTAAGTCCTGCTCTTGGACAGTAACACCAGTAGGTGAATGCTGAATTGAAAAAATTAGCAAATTTAGAGTCTTTTCTGGATCTATTCTATTTATTCGAGTCTTATGCACTTGCTTTTCAAGCAGCTGTAACTCTGCCTCGGCCTCCTTTGTTAATTGCCAAGGGCTAGTGAGACTAGGATCTCCTCTAAGGATAGAAAATAGTTTACTCATGGCATAGGTAGGAATGCCTAGAGCAGGTTGTATCCAATTACTGTCCCCTAGTAATTTTTGGAAGTCATTTAATGTTTTCAGTTGATTTCTACGTATGGTTACTTTCTGTGGCACAATGGTAGTATCATTTACTAAGGTCCCCAAGTAGGAGTAAGGAGTAGTAGTCTGAATTTTGTCAGGAGCTATAATTAAACCAGGGCAAGAAATCAAATTTTGCAAGTGATCGTAACATTGGAGTAATATTTCTCGAGTAGGGGCAGCACAAAGTGTATCATCCATATAATGAATAATGTAACACTGAAAATTTTTTATGAGTAGGTTTAATTGCTTGCACTACATAAGTCTGGCAAATTGTTGGACTGTTTAACATGACTTGTGGCAAAACTTTCCAATGAAAACACTTAGCAGGTTGCAGGTTGTTTACCACAGGTATTGTAAATGCAAACCATTCACAGTCTTGCTCAGCTAAGGGGATAGTAAAGAAACAGTCTTTTAAATCTATGACTATTAAAGGCCAATTTTTTTGAATCATAGCAGGAGAAGGCAGTCCTGGCTGTAATGTCCCCATAGGTTGTATAACTGAATTAATGGCCCTTAAGTCAGTTAACATTCTCCATTTACCTGATTTTTTCTTAATTACAAAAACTAGAGAATTCCAAGGGGAAAATGTTGGGAGCTATGTGTCCTTTTTCTAATTGTTCAGTAACTAAGTCTGCTAAAGCCTCCAGTTTCTCTTTACTCAGTGGCCATTGTTCTATCCAAATTGGCTTATCTGTTAACCATTTTAAAGGTATAGGTTCTGGAGGCTTAACAATGGCTGCCATCAAAAATGATACACTAAACCTTGGCGGGAACTTTGTCTTTCCATTTGAAGCAGTTCCTTCAAACCTTGCAAATTTTTTTCTAGTCCCATACCAAGGACATACCCCATTTCATGCATCATATGTTGACTTTGAGGGCTATATAATTGCTCTGGAATTAGAACTTGTGCTCCCCATTGTTGTAATCTCTTCCCCATAAATTTTTAGGTACAGAAGTTACAATTGATTGAATAGTCCCAGGTTGTCCATCGGGCCCTTCATAATGCAAAATATAACTACTTTGATATACTTCAGAGGCTTTACCACCTCCAACTATGTTAAATTGAGCGGGTTGAATTGGCCATGCAGATGGCCAGTGCCATAGAGAAATGATTGAAATGTCTGCTCCTGTATCTATCAAACCTTTAAATTTCTTTCCCTGAGTAGTTATTTCACAGGTAGGACGTTCATCAGTAATTTGATTCACCCAAAAAGCTGCTTTGCCTTGTTTATTTGTGCTTCCAAATCCTCCCGTTCGTTTAATTTCACTTTTCCCCATTTCCACATACGGCACAATCAGGAGCTGTGCTATGCTCTCTCCTGGCTCTGCTTTCCAGGGAACAGAAGTGGATATAACAATCTGAATTTCCCCATTGCTATCTGAATCAATGACTCCCATATGTACTTGCTGTCCTTTTAAATTTAAACTAGATCTACCTAGAAGTAATCCTATCCTCCCTGCTGGCAAGGGTCCACAGACCCCTGTTGGAACTTTTTGCAGGGGTTCCCCAGGCAGACTCACAGCTTTTGTGCAGCACAAATCTACTGCGGCACTACCAGCTGTGGCGGGGGACAGACATTGTACAGGGGTGAAGGAGTGGCCTGAGCCAGAACTGCCCCAGGTTGGAACACGGCCCGGGACAGGCCCCTCATGGCGTTTCCTAAATTGGGTTCCCATCTTTATCAAACTTAGAGTGACATTGATTAGCCCAATGTTTTCCTTTTTTACACTTCGGGCATAGACCTGGCTCATATTGATTAATAGCTTGTTTAAATTCTTTGAGTAATTTAAAAGGAAAAGGCTCAAATATAGCTATAATATTTCCCTATTGATCTAGGGGGTGTATCCTAACAGGGAACTGCCAAGCCTCTATATCACCCTCTCATCTAGCTTGCTGAATTCCTGCCTGAATAGAACTGAGAGCGGTTGCTCAAGGAACTGCTTTAACAGTCACTGGGGCAACTACTTTTCACCCAGTGTCCTCTAGAAAAGAAAGATCTGGAGGGTCAGGCCACTCTTTTTCTTCAAAATAATGAGGGGGTGCAGAAGGGTAGGGATGAACCTCTTCCTCCTTTGCCACTTTAGCTTTAGCTGGCAAACAAACCTGCTGTTACCTCTTCTGTTACTTCGTTATACTTTCCTTCCTTATCATTAGTGTGAAAAGGTTCCAAGGTGGAACAAACCAGAGCCCACACTTGTCCCACTGTTACCCTGATGCTTCTGTGTTCCCTTTCTGACTCACCATGGGCATTGCTTAAGAGTACTCGGGTGTCCTCCAGCTTAATTCCACATTCTCCAACCGTCGCTCTGGCGACCCTTTGACCTGGGATAGAGCCCCATGTATGGGCACCACTTACCGAGACCAGCTCGGTCGTGGAGACCCTAACCCAGCAGCGCTAGAGGAATTAAAGACACACACACATAAACATAGAGTGAGAAGTGGGAAATCAGGGGGCTGACAGCCTTCAGAGCTGAGAGCCCCGAACAGAGTTTGACCCATGTATTTATTGACAGCAAGCCAGTGATAAGCATTGTTTCTACAGATTGTAGATTAACTAAAAGTATTCCTTATGGGAAACAAAGGGATGGGCCGGAAATAAAGGATGGGCTCTGGCTAGTTATCTGCAGCAGGAACATGTCCTTAAGGCACAGATCACTCATGCCATTGTTTGTGGCTTAGGAACGCCTTTAAGTGGTTTTCCGCCCTGGGTGGGCCAGGTTTTCCTTGCCTTTATTCCGGTAAACCCACAACCTTCAGTGTGGGCGTCATGGCCATCATGAGCATGTCACAGTGCTGCAGAGATTTTGTTTATGGCCAGTTTTGGGGCCAGTTTATGGCCAGATTTGGGGGCCTGTTCCCAACACGTCTCAAACAACAACGAAAACCTTATGAAGCACTACCTTATGCCAGGCACTTTACTACACACTGGTGCTATAAATAGTGAGCAGGTAAACCTCTGTCTCAAACTCTACCAAACTGGAATTTCTTCCAGGTGGAGTAAACCAGTTCTCCTTAACAAACCTGTGAGCTATCCAGGTAGTACTGTGTTTGTTTCTTTTACCATCTTAACGGTTTCTAAGTGTATAGTTCAGTAAAGTCAAGTATATTCACACCGTTACACAACACATCTCCAGAACTTTTTCATCTTGCAAAACTGAGACTCGGTACCCATTAAGTAATAACTAATTGCCCCTCCCCCCAGGCCCCATAATCACCATCCTTCTTTCTGTTTCTATGAATTTTTTTTTTTTTTTTGAGATGGAGTTTTGCTCTGTCACCCAGGCTGGAGTGCAATGGCATGATCTCAGCTTACTGCAACCTTGGCCTCCCGGGTTCAAGCAATTCTCCTGCCTCAGCCTCCTGAGTGGCTGGGACTACAGGCGCCCATCACCACACCTGGCTAATTTTTATATTTTTACTAGAGATAGGCTTTTGCCATTTTGGCCAGGCTGGCCTCAAACTACTGACCTCAGGTGATCCACCCGCCTTGGCCTCCCAAAGTGCTGGGATTACAGGTGTCAACCACTGTGCCCGGCCTGTTTCTATGAATTTGATGAGATACCTTATATAAATGGAATCACGTACATTAGTATTTGTCTTTTGGTGACTGGCTTATTTCACTTTAGCATAATGTTCTCAAGTTCATCCATGTTGTAGCATGTGTCAGAATTTCCTTCCTTTTAAAGCTGGATAATATTCCATAGTATGTATGTCCCACAATTTTTTTTTTTTGAGACAGAGTCTCGTTCTGTCACCAGGTTGGAGTGCAGTGGCACAATCTCAGCTCACTGCAATCTCTGCCTCCCAGGTTCAAGCAATTCCCCTGCCTCAACCTCCTAAGTAGCTGGGACTACAGGCACGCACCACCATGCCCAGCTAATTTTTTGTATTTTTTTAGTAGAGATGGGGTCTCACCATGTTGGCTAGGATGGTCTCAATCTGCTGACCCGTGATCTGCCCGCCTCGGCCTCCCAAAGTGTTGGGATTACAGGTGTGAGCCACCGCACCCAGTCGTATGTCCCACATTTTATCCATTCATACAGTGAGGGACATTTGTGTTATTTCTACCTTTTGATTATTGTAAATAGTACTACTGTGAACACAGATATACAAATATCTCTCTGAGATCCTGCTTTCAATACTTTTCAAAAGTTATTTGCTGGAAGGAAATAACACTTTCATGTGCTTCTAAGTTTGGCTCTTTATATGTGTTACCTTGATCATTCTCTCAAGCAGCACTGCCCTTAATCCCAAGCAACTGGAGCTCTTGGGCGGGGTGGGGGCCTTATTGGTCTTCCTCTGCCCAGAGTCCAGAGGATGTGCCCACCCACCTTCCTTTAGATCATGCTCTAGGTACCTACTTAACCATCCTCAAATTTGCTTCCAGGGCCCAGATAGGCCTTTTCCTAGGTCCACCCTTCCTAGAGTGGACCTGCTAGTATGTACAGCCCTAGACCCAAAGGGTGGCTACAGGGCAGCTTTGTGGGGGACTCATGGTGTGGATCTTCAGGCTGGGTGTCCACATGCAGGCATAGGAAGCCTGAGACCTCACACTGTAGGACTGAGTTGGGAATGGTAAGGGGCTTCCATTTGTACTTTTTCTCTGGACTCCTGTAAATATTAGTAGCTATAATGTTGTTAAGATAAACAAGTACTATTGACAAGGTCTGAAGAACATTTAGTTCCATTACTGTAAACCTGTTTTTAACTGGATGTATTTTCTAGAATCAGTGTATCACTAGCTTCTCAGTGTATAGTGTCTAGTCAGTGAACCAGACGGATAAGATTTGCTCCTTAGTTAAGGAAGCCTGCACCAGGGTGAAAAACCGTTGTTGTTAATCTGAATGAATCTGTTCTTCTCTTCTTTTGCATATGTAACACTTATTAATGCAAATGGAAAACACAGATGATGCATTCGTGCAACAAGAGGAGACAAGAACCCTGAGGCATCAATGCCAGTGGGTAGACACACAGGCAATTCAGTAAGTACGTCTGGGATGCGCCAGTGGAGGCTCGGAGAGGCTAATGAGCTTGTTCTAGCTACCCAGACCCACAGATTCATGGCTGAATCCCAGAAGCAGCCTGGGAGATTTTGTGGGGAGATGAGGCAAAGTCATCTACTTCCTTGGCAAGGTAAAGGATTCCTTTCAGGAATCATCTTCTACCTCAAGCTGCCGTGTTTTAGTTAAACATCACAGCTCAGTATTGGGACAGAAATGTAGAAGGAAAAAAATGCTGAAGGGTCACAAGCAAGGAGCAGGTCTAGACAGCTGAGAGGAACCATTCTCCTCCAATAGCTCTGTTTCTTCAATAACTGGCCATGTAGACCCGTTCTACCCCCGAGGGCTGGGAGTCGAGTCAGGTTCCAGACTGAAATGCTCCCTGATCTTAGCATTCCTTCACTTGCCATCCCACAGGCACCTCAAATTTGGTGCGTCCAACTCTGAAGGGCTCATCATCACCCCATCATCCTTTTCCTGTGCTCCCTGTGTTAGTCAACTGCAGGATTAACTCCCCGCCCCCCAACCCCAGTCGCTCAAGCCTGAACATTCCTCAACAACGCCCACACCCCCTCAAATCCGGATATTTGGGCTTCCTAAATCTCTACCTCCTAATCTCTTTCACATGCGGTCCACTCCTTTCTGTCCCCATTGCCAAGGTTGGGCCACCACCACCTATCTTTGGGACAACTTACAGTCTTCTAAGGGGGGTCCTGCCTTCGGTCCGCCCCACCTGGCTCATCTCTTTTCAACAGTTTCTGCGGTCCTCACCTGCCCGAGACAGCAGTCTACAATGCGAACACAGTCATGTCCTTCCCCTTCAGCGGTTCCCCACTGCCCCCAATATGAAAAGGAGTTAGAAACCCCTGCCTTCCCACTCCCACCGAGCACCTTCGCCTTCTGAACTGGCCAGGGGCTCTGTTGCTTGCTCGTTGCTCTCAGACCCTTTGCGCAAGGTGCTCCCTCAACCCAAAATAGAATCTCGGCCCACCCTCTGTCGGTCTTCGCCCCACTGTCAGTTGTTCATTTAACAAATATTCGCTGCTTTTGCCAGGCTATGCAATAAACGCTGGGGTTACGCAAGGGGAGCGCAAAACAAAACAAAACAGAGAACAAACAAAAACCACAACTCCCAAAAGTCCATTAAGACCCCTAGCCACAGGGGGCTTACATCTGAGGGGTTACCGTCCCTTGGCACAAGGTGGAGTATGAAATCCGCCTCTGCCTTCCAGGCTTTTCCAGTGCCAAGACCTGCGGGGCCACCAATTGTGAGTCCCCTCCCGCACTGACTACTCCCTCAACAGGACAGGAGGGAAGCTGAACCTGTCGGGACACCGCGCTGGGCACGCTCAGGTCCCACCGCGCGTGCTCATCGGCGGTCCCTAGCGCGAGTTCGGACAGGCAGCGCCCCCCTCCGACTGTGAGCTGGGACGCTCCCGCACGCTTCCCGGCACCCCTTCAGTCTTCATGGTACACCCCGCCCGCAGGTACCCGGACGGCGGAAGTGAGCCGCGGGGGCGGATCTTGTTGTTACGGGTAACGGAAGTGTGGCGGCGTTGGGTTGAGCGGGCTTTTTGGAAGTTTGTGGCGGAGGTGAGGCCGAGGTGACTGCAGAGCGGCTCGCGAGGTGCTCGGGCTGTGGGACTGGGCCCCTGGGAGGGAGCGGTTCTGTGGGGGAAAGGAGGCTCCTGTCCTGACTTGGCGTTCTGGTATTTTCTCTGGCGTGGAAAGTAGGCGCGCTCCGCTGTCTCCCGCCGCCTGCCTCAGCTTTCGCGGTTCCCTCCTAGGGGTGTGCCTCAGTCGGAGCCCCTTCTGTTAAATTCTTCCCCCTTGGCCGAGGGTGAGCTCTTACTTCTGAGAAATTTCCCTTAACCTTGCTTTGCATTTGTTGTCCGGTCGCGGTCTCCATCACCAGCTGCTTCGTGTTATAGTTTTTGTATTTGCGCTCACGGCTTGTTAACTGAAGAACCCGGAAGGGAAGGCCGCGGCGTTTCCCGCCGGCGGGGCTCTGCCATTCTCGGATCTTGGCTTCAGATCTCTGATGCTCCCCAGCGTCTCTTGGCAAGGAATCTACTTCGCGTTCAGGGAATTCACAGCCACCCGCCTCTGGTCTTACCTCTGGTTTTAGGATGATTTTAGCAAATGTGCCTAGGTTGATTTAAACGTATCCCCCTCCGAAGCCGCCTGCCCCTTCTGGCTGGACACCTTTTTAGGTTGGTGTGTCCTGTTTGCATCCGGTAGTTCAAAGCATGGGATCTTGGAGTCCGGAGCTGGACAGACTCGGGTTTCACTTCTCTCTCTGCCACTTGGTAGCCTTCTAATCTTGGGGGAAATTCCCTAATCTCTGAATCCCAAAAGTTGTTCATCTAAAATGGGGCTAATATTACACCTACCTAGTAGGTGGTGTTGTGGGAGTCATGTTAATGAATGTAAAGTGCTGGGTTCAGTGTTTTCCCTATTATAGGGGTTCAATAATTTGTTCAACAAACATTTGTTACCTAGTTTGAGCTAGGTACTGTGCTAAGTGCTGGAGATACAATGATAAACAAAACCAGCTACGGCCCGTGTCCTTAGGGGACTTATAGTCTAGTGGGAGATAACATTTGTTAATCTGATAATTACACATGTAATATTAAAAATTGGTGACAGTATGTAAGAGAGTTTACTGGTGCCATGAGAGGATGTACTAGGGGAACGTTTAACAACCTATACTGAGCTTTTCTTTTCTTTTCTTTTCTTTTTTTTTTGAGACAGAGTCTCCCTCTGTTGCCAGGCTGGAGTGCAGTGGCGCGATCTCGGCTCACTGCAACCTCCGCCTCCTGAGTTCAAGTGATTCTCCTGCCTCAGCCTCACAAGTAGCTGGGACTACAGGTGCGTGCCGTCACGCCCAGCTATTTTTTTTTTTTTTTTTTTTTTTTTTTTTTTTTTTTGTATTTTTAGTAGAGACGGGGTTTCACCATCTTGGCCAGGAAGGTCTGGATGTCTTGACCTAGTGATCCGCCCGCCTTGGCCTCCCAAAGTGCTGAGATTACAGGCGTGAGCTACTGCGCCTGGCCTAGACTGAGCTTTTGAGGAGATGTGGATTGAGCTAAGATCTGAAGGATTTGTAGGAATTAGTAATAAAAGATTGGGGGGCAGTGGATGGAAGCAGGAATATTTATTTAAGTTCCAGATGGAAACATGTGGAAGGGCCTGTGGCAGAAAGAACTTGGAGATTTGAAGGACTGGAAGCAATTCTGCATGGCTGGAGCAGAGTGATGAAAGGGAGGTAGGCATGGGTCAGAACTTGCAGGACTTATTTTATCCTTACTTAAGGGTTTTGGACTGATAAAGCAATGGAAGCCACTGAAGAGCTTTAAGATGAGGATGGCATGGAGGGAAGATAAGTCACATAATCAGGTTTGTGTTTCAAAAACATCACTTTAGTTGCTGCGTAGAAGGGAACAAGTTAGGAAACGATTGCAGTAGTTCAGGTGAGAGATGGTGGTGGCTTGGGGTAATGTGTCAGTAGTGGAGATGGAGAAAAGTAGACAGATTTGGGAGATATTTAGTAGGTAACATTGACAGGACTTGGTAATGGATGTGGTGAAGGATGAAGGCAAAGTTGTTAAGAATGTTACCTAGGTTTCTGGTCTGAGCAGCTGAGTGGATGATGGTACCATTTATGGAGACGGGAAACACAGGAGGAAGAAGAGGAGGAACAGATTTTCTTTCTACTAGGCTGTACTTCCCCCTTCTATTTTCATAGCTACTCACTGAATTCTATCTGCTTCATGTGCCTCCATTTCATCCCATCTTTTCTGTTCTCCAGTCACCACCCTAGTACAGGTCTTTATCATTTCCACTAAAATAACTTCCAAATGGTCTCTTAGCATTTGCTGTTTCTTCTTACCTTCTCCCCACTTTAATCTGCACAAAGATGCTAGGTTCTGTTTCCTCAAACACTTGCAATCTTGTGAGATTGTCTTTTGCTCAAATTTTTTAATGGTTCTCAGTAATTTACGAAATAGAATCTAAATTCCTTAACCTGTTTACTTCCAGCCTATCTTTCCAGACTTCCTACTCACTATTTTCCTACTTGGATTCTACCTCAGCCATTTTACTCATTTTCCCCCAAAGAAATTTCTCATTTCCCGTATGAATGCCTTTGTTCATGATACCCTTCTCCATAATGTATACAACCTGGTTGTCTGGACTACCTATATTTAATCTCTAAGTTCCAGTTCAAGCTTTCCTCTGCTGCGAAACCTTGACATTTAAGAACACAGTTACATCTTTTACCTTGTTAACTTCTCAGCTTTTCTTTCTTTCTTTCTTCCTTTCTTTTTTTTTTTTTTTTTTTTGAGACAGAGCCTCGCTCTGTCGCCCAGGCTGGAGTGCAGTGGCGTGATCTCCGCTCACTGCAAGCTCCTCCTCCCGGGTTCACGCCATTCTCCTGCCTCAGCCTCCCGAGTAGCTGGGACTATAGGCGCCCGCCACCACGCCCAGCTAATTTTTTTTTGTATTTTTGGTAGAGACGGGGGTTTCACCGTGTTAGCCAAAATGGTCTCGATCTCCTGACTTCGTGATCTGCCCTCCTCAGCCTCCCAAAGTGCTGGGATTACAGGCATGAGCCACGGTGCCGGCCTCTTTTTTTTTTTTTTTTTAAGAGACAGGGTCTTACCTTGTTGCCTAGGCTGGAGTACTGTGGCATGATCATAGCTCACTGCAGCCTCACACTCTTGGGCTCCCCTTCTCACTTGTTTTTATACCATTTAATTGGCACATAGCATTTATAGTGCTATTGGTTTATTCATTTATTTGTCAAATACTTTATTACATGCTTATGGTAATATATAATGTATTACATACTTGATATGCTGTTAAATGGAAGCTTTGTTCTAGGTAGTATGGTGAGTAGATGGTAACAAGTGTGGGCAAAAATTATGAAACCACTTGATTAGAATACAGATTCCTAATAAGGCAATTCCAGGGAATTTTCAGGATTATTTTGGTTAGGTTAAGAATCATCTTGCCACTGAGCTTAAGAAGAAGAAGAAAAAAGAATCAGCTACTTAAAGATAGTCCTAAGTTTGTTGAGCACCCATTGCATAATAGGTATGAAATATTCAGTTAACAGGGAAGGAAAACAAATCAAGTTTGTTTATTTCTGGAATCTTCACCCACCTCTGACGTTTTTCCCTTGTAGTTCTGTGATATGAGCAACAATGGACCAGAAGATTTTATCTCTAGCAGCAGAAAAAACAGCAGACAAACTGCAAGAATTTCTTCAAACCCTGAGAGAAGGTGATGTGAGTATTAGGAAGCATGTTCTGCTAAAAGTAAATGTCAGGCATGATGACACATTCAAAGGACATGTGAGAAAGAAAAATTACGCTGCTTCTTCATCTACTCCCCATTCACTGTAGGAGACAAGGATTTATTTAATAATAATTTATAGATGTAAAGAAATTGGGGTGAGGGAATGAGAGAAATAGACTACTTGAGGGCATTTGTGACCAAGTTTAAACCTGAAATAGTTTAAGAATAGAATGCTTTTACAACTGTATTTATAAAAGCAATTAGTATACTTTTATGGTCCTCAGAACAATCCTATTTGATGATAATATCCAGACTATAGTTACTGATTGAGACATTAGTTTTGCATTTTGATGCTTCTCTGTATTTTTCCGTAAAGAAATTAAGTTTATAAGCGGCAAAATATTTTGAAATTATTAGTAAAAATTAGGGCCTCTGTTTTCACTATAAGTGTAGGATTATAAAATGGGATAGTAATTGCCTTATATGTTAGGCTGTTTCTTCTCCCTAATGTTCTTTCTCAGCTGATATACTGCTCCTTTTTCCATAAGTGATCTCATCCTATCCAGGTCCCTGCCTGGAAAAGAATCCCTCTTCAAGGTATATGTACAAACAAGTAAAGACATTGAGTATCATGGGATTTTTTTCCTTTTTCTGTCAATTGATGAGTATTATGTTTTTAAGGGAATTTCTTTGTGTTAATGTTGTAGTTATTGAAGGAAGGTGCATCTTAGTGTGTGTTATCTGACATACTAACTAGGAATTGATGCAGTGTTGCTCTTTGATTTTTTTTTCTTTGAAATTATCCAAGATTGCCTTTATAGCTATTTTTTGAGATGACTTGTTGCATGAGTTGTAACTTGAATCATTCTATAGACAAGATTTGATTGAAACTAGCATTTAAATTATTTATTTAAAGTTTCATGCCTCAAATTGAAGGCGTGAACACTGTCAAATTGAAGACAGTGTTCCAGATGTTTTCTGACTCTAGGATAGAGTAATGCTAATATTTCCCTCATTTTTCCATTAATGCAAAATCAGCTTTTTGGCAGCAACATTATATTGTAGTCTCATTGCTCTTATATTTATTTTTGTATATGTTGATAAGTTGCTAAGTTTCCTTTATCTCTGAAGTCCTTTTAGAATCCATGTTAAAAACTATATATAGGCCAGGCATGGTGACTTACACCTGTAGTCCCAGCACTTTGGGAGGATTCCTTTAGGCCAGGAGTTCGAGATCAGCTTAGGCAACATAGTGAGACCCAGTTTCTAAAAACAACTACCAAAACAACAAACTTTATATCTGTTAACTGTCACCTTTTTTAGATTCATCTTGTTTTACTCCATCAAGATCATTTTGTATGATTCTGCTGACCGTATTAATCAGCTTTTTATCCTCTACAAATTTGTTAAGCATGTCAGTAATATATGCAGGCAGTTCATTTGATAAAATGTCCCACAGAAGATGAACTCAGAGTAAAAAATTATAAAACACATAAAGAAGTCCTGTGGCAAGAAAGACTCAAACAGAAATGGGAAAATTCATATTCAAGGATTTAGAGCAATCTGAAAAAAATCTTTAATTATTTAACACAAATACTTAATACAGTATTTAACTTTATTTATTTAAAGGTGGGATCTCACCCTTGCACAGGCTGGAGTGCAGTGGGGCGATCTCGGCACACTGCAGCCTCAACCTCCTGGGCTCATGCGATCCTCCCACCTCAGCCTCCTGAGTAGCTGGGAGTACAAGCATGTGCCACCATGTCCGACTAATTTTTGTATTTTTAGCAGAGATGGGGTTTCGCCATGCTTTCCAGGCTGGTCTTGAACTCCTGAGCTCAAGCAATCCACCCACCTCAGCCTCCCACAGTGCCGGGATTACACGTGTGAGCCACTCTGCCTGACCTAGTATTTAAAATATTTGAAGATGTAAATGAAGGAATAGAACTCACAAAATAAGGGATGGATTTAGAAAACAATGAAAGACAACTTCTTGAAATGAAAACCTCAGTAGGTGGTTTAACAGTAGACAAAACATTGCTAAAGAGAAAATTAGTAAAGTGGAATACAGAGCTGAGGATAACTAAATAAAGCACAGATTGTAAAGAGGTGGAAAATATAAAGAATATTTAAAATATATGCAGAGAACTTTGATAAGAATATATTATCTTCTTAAACACATAGAATGTTCATAAAAATTAATCACATGTCATATACTAGAGCACAAAGAAAACATGGGTAGGTCCCATAAGGTAGAATTATTACAAACTATTCTCTGTGATCACAATGCAATAAAACTGGAAATGAAAACCGAAACTAAAAGTCAAAAAGCAAAGACACTTTTACTTGGAAATTAAAATACCTTCTATTCAACCATTGTGGAAGACAGTGTGGCGATTTCTCAGGGATCTAGAACTAGAAATACCATTTGACCCAGTGATCCCATTACTGGGTATATACCCAAAGGACTGTAAATCATGCTGCTATAAAGACACATTCACACGTATGTTTATTGCGGCACTATTCACAATAGCAAAGACTTGGAACCAACCCAAGTGTCCAACAATGATAGACTGGATTAAGAAAATGTGGCACATCTACACCATGGAATACTATGCAGCCATAAAAAATGATGAGTTCATGTCCTTTGTAGGGACATGGATGAAGCTGGAAGCCATCATTCTCAGCAAACTATCGCAAGGACAAAAAAACCAAACCCCACATGTTCTCACTCATAGGTGGGAATTGAACAGTGAGAACACTTGGACACGGGAATGGGAACATCACACACCGGGGCCTGTTGTGGAGTGAGGGGAGGGGGGAGGGATAGCATTAGGAGATACACCTAATGTAAATGACGAGTTAATGGGTGCAGCACACCAACATGGCACATGTACGCATATGTAACAAACCTGCATGTTGTGCACATGTACCCTAGAACTTAAAGTATAATAAAAATATATATATATATAAAAATAAAAAAATACCTTCTAAATAACTCTTGGAGGAAAAGAGATACAAACAAATTACAGGATTTTTGAAGAATAATTACAGATAACAAAAATACTACATGTTAAAAATCCATGGAATAATGTTAAAAACAAGTGTTTAACAAATGAAATAATGAAATCAATACAAATGAAATAATGAAAATAAATAAATTCCCAACTCAAAAACCTAGAAAAAAGAGAAAGTAAACAACAACAAAAAAACACAAGAAACTACTAAAGATAAAAGTGGAAATTAATAAAGTAGAGAACAGAAAAATAGTGGATCAAATTAATCAAAATCTTGGTTCTTTGTGGGGGAAAAAAACACCATTAATTAATATAATAATCAAAACAGTGGAGTAAAAACATGCACAAAATGAGAAATGACAAGGGAGAAATACTGTTAATACAGAGAAAATCTCAAAAAATACTGTGAGACTACAGTAGATTCCTGTGCAAATAAATTTGAAAACCTAGAGGAAATGGATAATTTCTTAGGCACGTACAGTTTAATAAAATTGAGCCAATTTGAGATGGAAAGCTTAAGCAGACCAGTTTCCATAGAAGAAAAGAGAAAGTTATGAAGGAACTACTTCGTACAAAAACACCAGGCCCAGATAGATTGGCAGGAAACTTCTGTCAAACCTTTAGAGATCAGGTAGATAGTCCTAATGCTACATAAATTGTTTTAGAGCATAAATAATAAAGGAAAACTTCCAAGTTCTTTGAATGAAGCAAGTATAACATTGAATTAAACAAATATAACATTGATTTTTTTATGCTATCTTTATCAGGTATAACCTTAAACCTCATAAAGATAGCATAGAAAAAAGAGGATATAGACTAATGTAACTTACGAATATTGATATAAAAGTCTTAAATATTAGGGGACAGATTGCAACACCACATTTAAAAAAAGTACACCATGATCAAGTGGGATTTAATAGCAGGAATACAAGGTTGGTTCAGTATTTGAAAGTATATTACTATAAAGATTATACGATTATCTTCATGGATCAGAGAAAGCCTTTGACAAAATTCAACACTCATTCCTAATAAAAGCTTGAGAAAAATCAGAATGGGTGGCTGTTTCCTTTACATCATAAAATGTATATATCTAAATTCTAGAGTCAGCATCTTAGTGGGAAACCATAGAGACATTTCCTCTAAGGCCGGGAACAAAGCAATGATGCCTACTGTCTCCATTACTATATAATGTTCTGATTGGCTAGCCTATGCATTTAACCTAGAGAAAACAATCACAGGCATAATAATGGAAAAATAAAGGCTGAGTGCAGTGGCTCACACCCATAATCCCAACGCTTTGGGAGGCCAAGGTGGGCAGATCACTTGAGGTCAGGAGTTCGAAACCAGCCTGGCCAACATGGTGAAACCCCTTCTCTACTAAAAATATAAAAATTAGCTGGGCGTGGTGGTGTGTGCCTGTAATCCCAGCTACTCGGGAGGCTGAGGCAGAAGAATCACTTGAACCTGGGAGGTGGAGGTTGCAGTGAGCCCAGATTGCACCATTGCACTTCAACCTGGGTAAACAAAGTGAGATTCCATCTAAAAAAAAAAAAAAGAAAATATAAAACGTCTCTCTTTGTAGATGGCATGATAGTATACCTGGAAAACCCTGGAGAATCTGTGATAAAACCATCTATAAACGAATTCATCAAGGTAGCAGAATATAAAATTAATATGCAAAAATCAGTAGCATTCATACATAATAGCCAGTTAGCTCACGCCTGTAATCCCAGCACTTTGGGAGGCCAAGGCAGGCGGATCACCTGAGGTGAGGAGTTCTAAACTAGCCTGGCCAACATGGTGAAACCTCAACTCTACTAAAAATAGAAAAATTAGCTGGGCGTGGTGGTGCACGCCTGTAGTCTCAGCTACTCAGGAGGCTGAGGCAGGAGAATTGCTTGAACCCGGGAGGTGGAAGTTGCAGTGAGCTGAGATCACGCCACTGTACTCCAGCCTGGGCCCCATTTACAATAGCAACAGAAAAGTTAAAACAGGAATAAACCTGAGAAATGTCCAAAACCCATGCGAAAAAAAACTATGAAACACTTCTGAAGGACAAAGTAGAAAACTAAGAAGATATCCCCTGTTCTTGATTGGGGAGTCTCAACATCACGAAAATGTCAATTCTTCCAAAGTTAATTTATCAATTTAATACCAGTAAAAATCCCATTGAGCTATATATATAAGTTGACTGCAAAATTCATATAGCAAATTGTACACACAGGGATAGTTAGGGAAAAGCTGAAAAGAGCTCTGAGAGAGGATTAACCATAGCAGAGACTAAACACCACAAAAACTTTTATAAATAAGAGTGCAGTACTGGTACATGAGTAGATAAACAGAAACGGAATAGGATACAAAGAATAGAATAGGTAATGCATAAGAATGGAAAGTCTCAAAATAGACCCAACTACAAGTAAAATCTAGTATATAATAAAATTACATCTTAAAACACTGAAATAAAGATAATCTTTGACAAATGATATTGGAACAACTGGATGGACATTTGGAAAAAATAGATGAAATTAGATGTGTTTCTCATATTCAAGAGAAAGCTCCAAATGAATCAGAAATTTAAATGTAAAAAACAAATCTAAATAAATGTTAGGGCTGGGCACAGGGGCTTATCCCTGTAATCCCAGCACTTTGGGAGGCTGAGGTGGGAAGATCGCTTGAGCCACGAGGTTCAGATTACAGTGAGCTATGATTGTGCCACTGCACTTCAACGGGTGAAAGTGAGACTCTGTCTCTTAAAAATAAATAAATAAATAAATAAATAAATAAATAAGTATATGTTAGAAGAAAACATGGATGAATTTCTCTTTAAGCTCAGTGCAGTGAAAAGCTTTCTAACTGTCATACAAAGTATAGATGCAAGAAAAGATAAGTTTGTCTACATATAAGTTAAAAAGTTTGTGTGGCCAGAAATACCATAAGCAGAGTCAAAAGACAAATGGCAAACTGGGAAAAAATATTTGTAACGTATCACAGAAAAAGGATTAATATCCCTAATTCATAAATAACTTGTGGGGGGGGGGGGGAAGATAAACTGTATTTTAAAAAGGCAAAAAACATGAGAATAATCACTAAAAGATATATAAAAATGGCCTTAAACATAAGAAAATATGCTCAACTTCACTCATAATAAGAGAAAAATAAAATAAAAGATAGTGATCCACCTGCCTTGGCCTCACAAAGTGCTGGGATTACAGGCAGGAGCCACCATGCCTGGCCCCATGTATATTTTTATGTGTATAAACATGCATACATTTCCTGGCTCTCTCCAATGAAAGAACCATGAAGCAAAGATGCCATAGTTGCTCGGTGCGGTGGCTCACGCCTGTAATCCCAACACTTTGGGAAACTGCGTGGGTGGATCACTTGAGTCCGGGAGTTCAAGACCAGTTTGGGCAACGTGGTCAAATCCTGTCTCTATAAAAAAATAAATAAATAAATTTTAAAAAGATGCCTTAGTAACAACAAACACACCCATCACCTAGATCTTTGCTGTTTCATAACCATTCCTCACTCAAGGGAACCAGGGCTCTTCAGAGAAACGGATAAGTTTATGCGTGGGCAGGATGGATACAAGATGAACCTGGAACATCTTGCTATACCAGAAAGTAAAGAAGTGCTCAAAAAAGACAGTGGGGGCGTGTCACAAAGACAGAAGAGCCAGCTTGAAGGGTTTCCCTTTGGCCAAATCTGGGACTATTTGAGCATCAAAATAAGTTCAATAATGAACCATTGAAAAATACAGAGATTTATAAGTCCATACTCATAATTAATAAATAAATTACTTTGGGAGTTCGAGGACGGAGGATCACTTGAGTCCAGGAGTTTGAGACCAGCTTGGACAACATAGTGAGAACCCACCTCTACAAAAAAATAATTTAAAAAATTAGCATGGCATATCAGCACACGCTTGTATTCCTAGCTAACTGGAGGGTTGCTGAGGCAGGAGAATTGCTTGAGCCCAGGAGTTTCAAGTTATAGTGAGCTATGACTGTGCCACTGCAGTCCAGCCAGGGTGACAAAGAAGACTCTGTCTCTAAGGTAAGTAAAGTAAGTAAATGAATACATGGGTAGAAAGGAGTTCTCTTGCTTACAGTGCAGGAGTTGGAAAATCATTCCTTTGCAATTGTAATGGTAAAGATTGAACCAGACAAGAAATACCAATGGATGTTAAATCCAGGGGGACTTTAAAAACATTGATACGATACAATTAATGAAGCTAAGAACCTTATTCCAACTCTCCCCAGTAATTATTTCACTAATGTTCTCTTTATGTTCCAGGATCCCACTCAGCATCCTACATTGCTCTTAGTTGTCATTTCCCCCTGATTTCCTACACTCTGCAATAGTTCTCAGTCTTTCCTTATCTCTGTTGATCATGATAGCCCTGAGGAGTATTGATTAGTTGTTTTGCTGAATGTGTCTCATTTAGGGCCTGTTTGGTGGTGTCTCATGATTGGACCAATGTCTTGTATCCCTGGCATAAGGACCACAGAAATGGTACCATGCCCTTTTTAGTGTATCAAATCACTGAGCTCTTGATGTCAGTGTTATTCCTGGTGATACTGACTTTGATAACCTGGTAACAGTGGTTTCTGCTGGGCTTTTCCATTTTACAGGAAGAAAATTAGATGAGGAGCAAGATATTTGCATGATCTTAAAGTGTCTCCCTATAAATTGCTTACTGGTGGCAAAGGGACAGGGTGGGGGAAGTAATTATAAAGTGGGATCAGAATATCACCAATGAGGGACAGATGGACATCATGTGCTTCCTGATGTGATACTCCGAGAATGACATGATATCACCTGTGTTCTTGTGAGACCGCATAAACTCAATCTAGCCACAAGGAAACATCAGACAACACAAAATGAGGAATGTTCTATTTTTTAAAAACTAAAATTTATTTGGATTATGCTGTTAACTTGGTAGTTACAGTCTGCCAATTAATTTTAAAGCCTTCTGAGGTAACAGGGATACTTAAATCTTACTTGCTCTATTTCTGAGTTTTAAAATGTAGTAAAAAGCATAACTGAACATGGTCAAAAGAAAGACTGAAGATCACATAAGTGGAAGGAGGAAGAAGGGGAGTAGAGGACAGAGTCAATAGAAGAAAATTAACATTCGTTGAGTACTTGTCGTGTGTTAGGCTCTGTGCAAATTCTTCTCCCCTTTATCTCAGTCCTTTGAGGTGGGGAAATGGACACACATAACAGATTAAGTTGCCTGAGGTTTTATAGCTAGTAAATGGCATAGCTAGGATTTACATCCAGGGCTTCTGATTCTGGATCCAGCTTTTTTTCCCTCTTCCTATGCCACACTGCTTTCTGTTGAAACTGAACTATTTCAAAAAGAGTCAACAGCTTCTCAGCCTTGGCAGTGCTCACGTTTTGGCTCGGATAAATCTTTGTTGTGGTGGGCTGTCCAGTGCATTGCAGAATGTTTGATAGCATCTCTTACCTCTACCCACTAGATTCCAACAGCATCCTTCCAGTTGTGACAACCAGAAATGTTTCTAGACATTGTCTAGTGTCCCCTGGGGGACAAAAATCACTGGTTGAGAACTGCTGCTCTAAGGGTTATGTCAAGGACCAAGTACTCTGTTGGAAGGTATAGGCAAGAGTAGTCAGATACTTCTTTATTATATATTTAATAGAGAGATGGACTCCAGCTAGAAACACCAGCCTCATGTACTTGTGGAAGAGAGAGTTTATTGTTTTATTAGTCTTGGCTTCTGTGACACCTCTCTCTCGAGATTATCCTCCAATGTTATTGACTTCACTTTCTCCATTGTCTTTGCTGGCAGCTGCTTCTCTTTTTAATGACTGACTCTTGGTGTTTCTCTTCTTTATATTCTTTCCTGGATGGTCTCATCTGTTTCCATTGATGCTCCACTTGGCATATTTCATTGTCATCTATTTGGCACTTCCACTTGGATATCTCAGAGTAGTGGTTCTGAGCCTCACAGCAGACCCGAATCATAAACTGTGGGTAGATCCTGGAAATTTAGTAAGCTCTCAGGGTGATTTAGATGCTTCCTTAATCCCAAATTTTCAGCACGTAAACAGATGGTGCCACTATCCACCAGCTAGCTGCTTAAGCCAGAAATTTAGGAATCCTCCTTGATTTCTTTCTTTTTTGTTGTTTTTTTTTGATATGGAGTCTCGCTCTGTCACCCAGGCTAGAGTGCAGGGGCGTGAGCTCGGCTCACTGCAAGCTCCGCTTCCCGGGTTCATGCCATTCTCCTGCCTCAGCCTCCCAAGTAGCTGGGACTACAGGTGCCCGCCACCACGCCCGGCTAATTTTTTGTATTTTTAGTAGAGACGGGGTTTCACCGTGTTAGCCAGGATGGTCTTGATCTCCTGACCTTGTGATCTGCCCACCTCGGCCTCCCAAAGTGCTGGGATTACAGGCATGAGCCACCACGCTTGGCCAGATTTCTTTTCCTTCATCACCACCCCCTACTTCCCTTCCAAACTAAGGAATTTCTATTCTTAGTTCTCAAATATTTATCTTAGATCTATCTACTTTTCTTCATCGCCTGTATTAGTGTGCTAGGGCTGCTGTTACAATGTATCACAAATTGGGTAGCTTAAATAGCAGCAATGTAATGTTTCACAGTTCTGGAGACTAGAAGTGCAAGATCAAGTGTTGTCAGGGTTGGTTCCTTTTGAGGGCTATGAGAATTTGTTCTGTGTCTCTCACCTAGCTTCTGGTGGTTTGTTGGCAACCTTTAGCATTCCTTGGCTTGTATCACCTGATATCTGCTTTCATCTTCACCTGACATTCCCCCTGTTTGTGTTTCTGTGTCCAGAGTTCCCCTTTTTATAAGGGCATTAGTCTTTGGATTAGGACCCATCCTAATGACCTCAACTAATCTCACCTACAAGAAGAGCCCAATTTCCAAATAAGGTCACATTCTGAAATACTGGGGGTTAGAGCTTCAACATATGAAATTTGGGGTTGTGGGGAGGACACAATTCAATTCATAATGCCTCTATTACTTTGGTCTAGGCCACTGTCATCTCTCTCTTAAACATGGTAGCAGTCTACTAACAGGTATCCCCATTTCACTCTTAAACCCCCATAACTCATTCTCCACACAAGGAGCAAGGATGATTTTTGAAAAATCTATCATCCCATTTCCTTCTTTTCTCTTTAGTAACTTCCGTTGCACTTAGAGAAAAGCTAAACTTCCTACCATGGCCTGTAAGATTCTTCATAATCTGGTCCTTTCCCGTTTCTCTTCAAACTCATCTTCTACTACTCTTTTCTTTATTATTCTCCAGCCATGTTGATTTTTTTTTTTTTAAGCAAGGCTTTGGCCTCAAATATGCCAAGTTCTTTGCTGCTTCTTGGACATTGCACGTGATCATACTTCCATCTGGAATATCCTTCTCTAACGCCTTTGAATAATTAGCTCCTTCTTGTCCGCCAGGTCTCTACTTAAATGTCACCTACTTCTGAGAAGCTTCCCCTTACTACCCTAGAGGAAATTTCCTTCCTTTCCTCACTTATTGTCTATCTCAGCCTCTTATTTGGTTCTTTTACAATTTTTTTCTGCCATCCTTTCCCCTCCTGCTCTGTTATGAACTCTGAGTCAAATTACTATGTCTGTTTTGTTCATCTTTATAACATGCCTAAGGAAAATAACATGCTCAAAAAGTATTTGTTGGATGAATGTATGTTCCCAACTTAGTGCTAAGTTATAAACATAAATGTTTATAGAATGAGTAAGAATAGATTTTAGTCTTGACAATCCAGGATCATATTAAGATATACCCTCCTCTGTCTAAAAATTATGGTGTTTGTAATACTTGGCGTCTCTGAATGATCTGAACGTGACAGAAGAGTACTTTTTCATATTGAGTGTTTAGGTCATTGGGGTAAAAGACTGTTGCCAGAGACTTGTACCTTTTTCTTTCTTTGCAGTTGACTAATCTCCTTCAGAATCAAGCAGTGAAAGGAAAAGTTGCTGGAGCACTCCTGAGAGCCATCTTCAAAGGTAATAATAATTAATGTCACTTCTGTCTGTCTCCTGCATTCATTGGTAGATTTGTTTAGTTTTCGTACTTTTCTTACGGTTTGAAGCCCCACTGGAACATTTTCCATGTTTTGAGGATTCTACAGAATCAACTACAGCAGCAGTTTCCTGTCTAGTGGACTTAAGTAATTTTACTGAAGGGAGTTTGAAGTGGCTACCTGAGATTGCGTTGCTGATTTGGGGGCCTATAATTACAGAATGTGCTTTTCGTAAAATCTGCTTTGGTTTACTTGTGCTTTTAAGATTGTGGAGAAGAGAACAGCAATGTTTAATACATAATCCATGCTTAGCAAGGGGCAAGTAACCTCTGGGGTTTAATGAAATGGGGTATCTTAAGGTGCCTTATATAGAGATTCTTCATGCCCGCTGAGACGTATTTGTTTTCTTGTCTTGAACAAGGGCTAGTTTAAATTGTTGCAGATTGTGATTTATAGTGGTTTTATAAATTCTGGTAGGATAAAATTTTACAAGGCAAAAATTAAAAGTGTCTTTGGACTCTTAATTAGGTATGTTAACTTGGTTTATTTTTCTTCCCCCAAGTAAATTAGATCTCTGCTGCAAGGGTACAAAAACACATCTTCCTATTCATGAAAGAACTTTCAAGATTGGTTGAGTCAACCTGTATGGAAACTTGCTAAATATTTTATAGAAATATCAGAGAAAAGGAAATAATTAAAGATCAATAGCAACTGCCTACGTACACTACTACTAAATGGAAGAGCAATTCTATGGCTTTTAGTATATTCAGAGTTGTGTATCCATTACCACAATTGATTTTAAAACAATTTCCTTACCCCTGAAAGAAGGTTTGCATCTCTTAGATGTCACCTCTCCAAACCCCTAGTCCATTCCAGTCCTAAGAAACCACGAATCTACTTTTTGTCTCTACAGATTTGTCTATTCTGGACATTTCATTTAGTGGAATCATTCTATATATGGTCCTTTGTGACTGACTTCTTTCGTTTATAATGTTACAAAGGTTCCTCTATGTTGTAATATGTATCAGTACTTTATTTTTACTGCTGAATAATATTCCATTATGTGGATATACAACATTTTTCCATTCATGAGTTGATGAAGACTTAAGTTGTATCTATTTTCTGGCCATTATAATACTACTATGAACATTTGTGTATAAATTTTTGTGCGGACATGTTTTCCTTTCTCTTGGATATATATCTAGGAGTGGAATTGCCGGATCATGTGGAAACTCTTATGTTTAACTGAGAAACCGCCAAACTGTTTTCCAATGTGGCTGGATTAGGATGCCAATTTTTTCACATCCTCATCAACACTTGTTATTATCTTTTTTTTTCAGTTTTGATTTATTTTCATCACTTTTTCTACATGATCCAGATATTTTAAAATGCAAAGAAAATTAACTTTAATGATATGTTCCAGGATCGGCACTAAAAAAAAATTTTCAGACTGCAAATGAATTATACAAATGAAAATATCAAATGGAGATCCCCTTATCCAAATGAAAGCACTCAACTTATTAAAAGTTCACAAGTATTTGTATAGAGCACATTAAAAAAGTCAGCTTGCTAAATGTTTTGATTTTAAAGAACGATTGCAGAAGTCTGAAGAAAATAGATTAGTTATTAAATTTGGGTTACTGGACTTCTCAAAAGCTGTAAGACCTATTAGAAGGTTACTTCATCCTGTAATTATTAAAATAATAGGTAGATGAAGAAAAGATGACATTTTAGTCCCTTTATTTTGGCTAAATTAAGCACTTTTTCAAAGCCCTTAACCATTGCTGTTCTAAGCACCGTAGTAATCAGTCGTTTGATAATTCTGTTTTTTTGTATTTAACTACAAACCTGTTCGTTTTTCCTATTTACCTGTCAATGTTGTAAGACTTGTTTCTGAACCCCCTGTTTAAAACAATAAGGTTCCCCCTGCTCTGAGGAAGCTGGAACACTTAGGAGACGTAAGATATACACTTGTTGTATCCAGTTGGTGGAATCGGGGGATTTGCAGAAAGAAATAGCGTCTGAGATCATAGGATTACTGATGCTGGAGGTAAGATGGCAAACAAAAACTTTTATTTGGGGGTAGGTTTTTGAGGGTTTGTAATTTGTTGAGGGAAGGAAAACTTAAGTGCCCAACCTAGCATAGTCCTTATTTATGAGTAAGACCTGTTGTTAAAAAACAAAGAAGCAGGCCGGGCATGGTGACTCACACCTGTAATCCCAGCACTTTGGGAGGCTGAGGTGAGGATCGCTTGAGCTCAGGAGTTTGAGACCACCCTCTGCAACATGGTGAAACCCCATCTCTACCAAAAATACAAAAGAAAAAAAATTAGCCGGGCTCGTGGCGCATGTCAGTGGTCACAGCTACTTGGGAGGCTGAGGCAGGAAGATCGCCTGAGCCAGGGAGGCGGAGGTTGCAGTGAGCCGAGATTGCACCGCTGCAGTCCAGCCTGGGCAGCAGAGTGAGACCCCGTCTCAAAAAAAAAGCAGATGAATGGGTTATAATCCACTTAGGTGTATATATTACATTTCTGGTACCATGGACATATATCTCTTTGAAGAGCTGGCATATCTGAAAACATCAGGGAACCGATACAGGATTCTAACTTTTGAAGCCCTTCACAATTATAACTACGTACCAGACAGAGCAGAATGATTCCATAAATCCCTTATGGGACCAGTTCTGGATCTCGGTCAATTCATTTATTTCAGCAAAAGACTTTATTTCTTAGAAAGATTTATCAAACATTGGATTTCTGCTTGAGATTTCCTTTATCCTGTGAACTTTTAGGCTCACCATTTTCCAGGACCATTATTGGTTGAATTAGCCAATGAGTTTATTAGTGCTGTCAGAGAAGGCAGCCTAGTGAATGGAAAATCTTTGGAGTTACTACCTATCATTCTCACTGCCCTGGCTACGAAAAAGGAAAATCTGGCTTATGGAAAAGGTAATTTTCTTCCGACTTTAGTGGCTTTTTCTCTATGCACATAATCAAATTCATTGCTCAGTATATTTTGCATTTCTAGGTGTACTGAGTGGGGAAGAATGTAAGAAACAGTTGATTAACACCCTGTGTTCTGGCAGGTGAGTCTTGTTAATATGTATAACTTTCTTAGGAATACAAGTGGCGGAAAAAAAACCACTTTATTTCAGGAATTTATGTCTGGAGGTTTTAAGTCCTTCTTTTTTGTTGTTTTTAATATAACACTATAAAACTATTTAGTCTGCAATGAATTAGTGAGAAAGAAATGATTTACTATATTCTGTCCTCTAAGACTGTTCATATAGTTTTATTTGCTTGACTGTATCTTCTTACAGCAATTTAGTGTGTTAAGATACACATAATTAAATGTTAATTTAGTGTGTTTAATGCTCCAATCTAAGCATTATTGGAGTCTCAAGGTCGTGAAGGCTGGGAAAGTCACCCTGCTGCTGCATCTTTTCTTTTTTTCTTTTTTCTTTTTTTTTTGAGGGAGTAGAATATACAAGTGATGTATCCTTTAACCAGTAATTGTATTTCTGGGAATCTACATTAAAGAATGACTGCAACATACAAGAAAATCCTCACATATGAACATGTTCAACACAGAAATTTGTGACCAGTATAAGCATACAGTAATAGAGACATGTAAACTATGTAAGTTAAGGTAGAGCCACTCCATGACATTTATACCTATTAAAAGTGAAATGTATACATCAAAGATGAAAAATTCTAACCATATAATTAACAAAGAGATTACTATGTTATATAATACTGTGATTGCGTGTAGGTTTGTTAAAAAGAACAAGAAGGGAATACCCAAGATTATCTAAACCAGAGATAATTGCTTTTATGGTTCCTTACATAAGATCCCTTACATAAATCATTTTAAGCATGTATTTGTCAATTAATTTGTTTTTAATTACACAAGAGTTTATTCAATACATACTGTAATATACCTTGCATTTTTTATTTAATACAACTGTCCATGTCAGCATATACAACTCTACATCATTCTTTTTAATGGTTTGCAGTAATCTATTATTTGGCTAATCTACAATTGTCAGATTATTTGGTTATTTCCAGTTTTTGTGCTATTACAAAGAGTGTTGCAATGAATGTCTTTTTTAATTTTAAATAGAGATGGGAATCTTGCTTTATTGGCCAGGCTGGTCTCTTGAACTCCTGGCCTCAAGGGATCCTCCTCCTTTGGCCTCCCAAAGTGTTGGGATAATAAGCATGAGCCACTGCACCTGGCCTGAACATCTTTATATATCTAGATGACCTTTTATAAGCATGTACATGGCATATATTTCAAATAGTAAATTGGGTAGATCTGTGATTATGTGCATTTTTAAAGTTGATAACTACTGCCAGCTTGTCATACATTCCCTAAAACGGTATGTGAATAGAGTTTGTTTTCCACAATCTCACCAACATTGGGTATCATCAGAATTTTGATTTTGCGAGTCGGGTAGGTTAACAACTGCTATTTCATTGTTTTAAATGGTATTTATTTGATCTTGTTTCTCGGTATTGCAAAATCAAACTTGAATTGGCCCTGTTTTTTTGTCCTCATTAATTTTACAAAGTTATATCTAAATAAGTTGTAAAGAAATAAACTTTGTCATTTTCTTCTACCAGGTGGGATCAGCAATATGTAATCCAACTCACCTCCATGTTCAAGTAAGCATCATCTTTTCCCTTTTCTTTGTGTATCCTGCTTTGTGAACTTACTTGCTAGAAATTAAACTATAGCAAACGTAAACATCACTCTCTCCTGATTGTAAGAATATTAGTAGTTATGTTTTCTGTTACAGATTCACAGATTCCCTCCTCACTCCTGCCTCCTTTTTGGCTTTACTTACTTATTTAAAACATAACTTTATTTTTTTTATAAGAATGACTTTGCTTAGGTAAGGTTATTGGTTCCCTTAAAGGTTCTTCATTAGAGAAAAATCAAAAGGGACAGTTATAATAATCTATTATCTCTTTAATTCTCTGCTCCCAAGTTTCATTTCTTAAAATATGTTTAATGGAATTTTAACCACTGTAAAGCCCTGAATTGAATTTCTGAAAACAAGGCAGTTAGACACTGTCTATAGCCTTTAGAATCTTTGATCCACAGGGATGTCCCTCTGACTGCAGAAGAGGTGGAATTTGTGGTGGAAAAAGCATTGAGCATGTTCTCCAAGATGAATCTTCAAGAAATACCACCTTTGGTCTATCAGCTTCTGGTTCTCTCCTCCAAGGTACAAATGGAAAATTGTTTCTCCTTAGTTCTGGTGGTATGACCAGTTATGACCATTCAACTTATTCATACCCTTGGTTTATATAGCAGAGCAAACATAGCCGAACATAGATGCTTTCATTTCACGTGAGCAAACATAGCCGAACATAGATGCTTTCATTTCACATATAGTGGTTTGGTCTGGTAAAAGGATCATACTTCTCATCCAAGGAAAACATGCATTATCTCTTGTATTGCCACATTTTCTTTGCGGAGGTAAAAGGGATAAAGATCTCAGAAAGGGTAGACTATAGGCCCCATAAATTCTTACAGTAAGAGGTATTTCAAATCTTGTTTCAACATGAAAGTGTTCTATACATTCTTAGTTTGAGTCTAAGTCATAGATTATTTATTTAAATTTGTACTGGAGAATTCTTTAAGCTGAAAACTACTTTGAATTCAAATTGGTTATTTTGCTGTTAATTGGGAGACCTTACCAATTTTGTATTGTTTTCAGGGAAGCAGAAAGAGTGTTTTGGAAGGAATCATAGCCTTCTTCAGTGCACTAGATAAGCAGCACAATGAGGAACAGAGTGGTGACGAGTGAGTAATATAGTGTAGAAATAAAGATCATTTTTACAAATTCATCTTCTCATTGTGTATTTTAGCTATTTCATTTTCTTCTCTCTCACCGCCTACCTTCACCTCAGCACAAAACTTTTCTAATCTTCTCTTAGCTACTCAGTAATAAAGAGAATAACATGATCTCTTCAGCTCTTTCATTTTCACCTTTCCAGGAAAATAATTGTCCTATAAGCTGCAAGTTTAAAACCTATTTATTAGGTGTCAGCTCTCTGCCAGGAACTGTTTAGCCTTGGGGCTACCGTGCTGAACCAGTCAGACAATGTCCCTGCTCTTGTAGAACTTCAATTTTAGTGAGAAGAGGAAAGAAAATAAATAACAAGAAAAATGTTATAGTAAAAGTGCTATGCAGGTAATTCAAATGGATGATCTACCACTGACAGTATAGCTACTTTAGATTGGGTCAGGGAAAACCTCTCTCAGATGTGCTATTTTAACTGAAGCCTGAATGATAAGATCCATAATATATAGATCAGAGAACATTCTCAGGTAGGGAAATAATACAAAGGCAGAAGAACAGTGTGACATGTCTGAGAAAGAGGATTTTGGGTTTTTTTTGTTTCATTTTGTTTTGTTTTTGAGACAGAGTGTAGCTCTGTGGCCCAGGCTGGAGTACATTGGCATGATCTCAGCTCACTGCATCTTCCACCTCCCAGGTTCAAGTGATTCTCCTGCCTCAGCCTCCTGAGTATCTGGTACTACAGGTGCGCACCACTACGCCCAGCTAATTTTTGTATTTTTAGCAGAGACAGGGTTTGCCATGTTGGCCAGGCTGGTCTCAAACTCCTGGCCTGAAGTGATTCACCCTCCTCGGTCTCTCAAAGTGCTGGGATTACAGACATGAGCCACTGTGCCTGGCCAAGGATTTTTGTTTTTTCTTTCTTTCTTTTTTTTTGAGATGGGGTCTCACTCTGTTGCCCAGACTGGAGTGCAGTGGTACGATCTCGGCTCAGTGCAACCTCCACCTCCTGGGTTCAAGAGATTCTCCTCCCTCAGCCTCCTGAGTAGCTGAGATTGCAGGCATGCGCCACCACGCCCAGCTAACTTTTTGTATTTTTAGTAGCGATGGGGTTTCACCATGTTGGCCAGGCTGGTCTTGAACTGACCTCAGGTGATCCACCTGCCTCGGCCTCCCAAAGTGCTGGGATCACAGGCGTGAGCCACCGTGCCTGGCCGGATTTTTTGTTTTTTAAGCAAACATTTGTAGGATGTTCATTCTGTGCCAGGGGCTATTCTAAGCACTTTAAACCTCACAACCCTATTTTACCTCTACTTTATGGATATGGAAATCGAGAGACAAAGAATTTAGTTAGTTTGGCTTGAGCAATTTATTAGAGGTGGTTTCTTATTTCTTTTTTTTTTTTTTTTTTAAGAGTGTCTTGCCCTGTTGTCCAGGTTGGAGTACAGTGGCACCATCATAGCTCACTACAGCCTCCAATTCCTGGGCTCAAGTGACCCTCCAGCCTCTGCTTCCCAAGTAGCTGGGACTATAGGCACGTGACACCAAGCCTGGCTACTGTTTTTTTTTTTTTTTTTTGAGATGGAGTCTCTGTCACCCAGGCTGGAGTACAGTGGTGTGATCTCGGCTCACTGCAACCTCTGCTTCCCAAGTTCAAGTGATTCTCTTGCCTCAGCCTCCCAAGTGGCTGGCATTACAGGCACCCACCACTATGCCTGGCTAATTTTTTTTTTTTTTTTTTGAGAGGAAGTCTCACTGTGTTGCCCAGGCTGGAGTACATTGGCATGATGTCAGGTCACTGCAAACTCTGCCTCCTGGGTTCAAGCGATCCTCCTGCCTCAGCCTCCCTAGTAGCTGGGGTTACAGGTGCGTGCCACCACGCCCGGCTACTTTTTGTATTTTTAGTAGAGACGGGCTTTCACCATATTGGCCAGGCTGGTCTCGAACTCCTGACCTCAAGTGATCCGCCTACCTTGGCCTCCCAAAGTGCTGGGATTACAGGCGTGAGCCACTGCACCTGGCCCAAGCCTGGCTAATTTTAAAAATTTTTTCTAGAGATGGTCTCACTGTGTTGCCCAGGCTGGTCTTGAACTCCTAGCTTCAGGCGATCTCCTGCCTCAGCCTCCCAAAGTGCTGGAATTACAGGAGCAAGCTGCCACACCCAGCAGAGAAGGTGGTCTTAGATACTAAATTAGAATAAGCTGACAGAGAATCAGATTTTGGAGAAAATAATTAGCTCACTTTTTTTTTTTTAATTAGCTCACTTTTGACCACACTAGGTTTGAGATATATATTAGGGTCCCATAAGGAGATATTAAGCAGGTACTCTGGAGTAGTAGGGAGAGGGCTGAACTGGGGATAAGACTGGAAGGGACTAAAGCCAAGAGACTGGATGGGATTATCAAGGGAAAGCATGAAGAAAAACCTAAGACTGAGTTCAGAGGCATTCCACCATTTCAAGGTCAAGCACTTTGGGAGGCCGAGGCAGGCAGATTGCTTGAGCTCAGGAGTTCAAGACCAGCCTGGATGACATGGTAAAAACCTATCTCTACAAAAAGTACAAAAATAGCCAGGCGCAGTGGCTCATGCCTGTAGTCCCAACTACTTGGGAGGCTGAGGCAGGAGAATCACTTGAGCTCAGGAGGCGGAGGTTGCAGTGAGCTGAGATTGCACCTTTGCATTCCATCCTGGGCAATGGGAGTGAATCCTTGTCTCAAAAAAAAAAAATTTTTTTTTTTTTTTTTGAGAAGAGGCCAGTGATGATGCCCTGGAAGCTAAGAGAAGAAAATTTTTCAAGAAAGAAGTAGTTAATTGTGTCAGATCTGAGATGTTAATTAAGATGGGACTTTATTGTTTTTGACAACTTGGAGGTCATTTGTGACCCTTGAAAAAATAATCTAATGTTATTGTGGGGGTGAGGGTAGAAAGAGGATAGAAGCCTGATTGAATTGGATTGTACTGGGAAGAGATTGTGAGATAAAAAAGGAGAAATTATGACTATACACATTTATTTTACGAAATCTTGTAAAAAGAAGCAGAGTCTGGGCACAGTGAATCGTGCCTGTGATCCCAACGTTTTGGGAGGCTGAGGCATGAGAATCACTTGAGCCCAGGAGTTCAAAACCAGCTGGGCAATATAGTGAAACTCCATCTCTACCAAAAAATAGAAAAATTAGCCGGGCATAGTGGCACATGCCTGTAGTCCCAGCTACTCAGGAGGCTGAGGTGGGAGGATCGTTTGAGCCTGGGAGGTTGAGGCCACAGTGAGCTATGATCATGCCATTGCACACCAGCCTGAGTGACAGAGCGAGACCCTGTCTCAGATAAATAGATGGATAGATAGATAGACAGACAGACAGGAGCAGAAAATTGGGCAGTAGAATTTCTAGTAAACACCTGCCTTCAGTGATTGTATGAGTTTAGCTTGAGTTGGTCTACTTGCTCATCGTAGCACCTGTCCTTGTCTCTCACTCAAAAACCATAGCTCATACCTTTTTTTTGTTGTTGTTGAGACAGGGTCTCTCTGTTGCCTAGGCTGAAGTGCAATGGCACAATCTTGGCTCACGGCAACGTCCACCTTCCGGGCTGAAGCAATCCTCCCACCTCAGCCTCCCAAGTAGCTGGGACTATAGGAATGCCACCACATCGGGCTGATTTTTTTGTATTTTTAGTAGAGGCTGGTCTTGAACTCCTGGGATCAAGTGATGCGCCCGCCTTGGCCTCCCAAAGTGCTGGCATTACAGGCATGAGCCACTGCACCTTATAGCTCATAACTTTCTGTTGAATCTTTTAGGCTATTGGATGTTGTCACTGTGCCATCAGGTGAACTTCGTCATGTGGAAGGCACCATTATTCTACACATTGTGTTTGCCATCAAATTGGACTATGAACTAGGCAGAGAACTCGTGAAACACTTAAAGGTAGCATCAAACTTGTAAGGTGATCTGGGTCTCTTTTGAATGAAAGTGTTTGAACTTAAGCCACTGTTATGCCAGTTAATGACAGGAAATAAATACTGTAAAATGACCCTGGGTGTGGAGGATCTCTTTTTTTTTTTTTACTTTAAAAGTGGAAAATACATGATGTTACCACACTCCCTTTTTTTTAATGTCCTCACTTTAGCAGTATACCACATCCTTAAGCAAGCCAGAAAGTTCTATTTAAAAAAACCCTCAAAAGTTCTAACGCAAAAAAGTGGGAAAAAAGGTGAGAACTATTCAGCAGGAAACTCAAAATCTAATTCTAAGTAGATTATGTGTCACTGTCTTATGTGACCTTCAGCTATGGCCTCTGCTTTCTCATTTATGAACTAGGATGTTGCATCTAGTAGTATATCGTGGAGTTGTGTGATGCTAAGTCATTCATCATGAAGTATTTGTAAAGCAGTAAAATAAAACTCAGAAGTGTTTTAAACTATATTAAAAGTAGTGTACAGATATATTTGTTCCTCCAACTTTTTAGTTTGAAAATTCTAACTCAGAAAAGTTAAAACACTACATAGCGTGAAGAACACCTATGTTCCCTTCACCTAGATTGACCAATTATTAGACACTTTGCCACATTTACCTCACTTTTTCTCTCATACATATTCTTTTTCTGAACATTTAAAAGTAAGATGCAGAAACCCAAACCCTAACACTTCAATGCCTGAATATTTCAGCATGCTAAGAATAAGGACACATTATCACAATACCATCATCACATCTAAGAAAATTAACAATAATTCCATAATATTATTTAATTTATATTCCCTATTCACATTTTCACAGTTGTCTCTAAAATGTCTTTTGCAGCTGTGTTTTTTTTTTCCTCTGCTCCAGGCTCTCATCAGGCTTCATGCATTGCATTTGGTTGTTCTTTCTTTCTAGTTTTAGACTGATTTTTTTGAAGCATCAGCCCACTTGTCTTGTGTAATGTCCCACATTTTTGGATTTATCTGATTGTTTCCTCACGATTGGGTTCAAGTTAAACATTTTTGGCAAGAATACTTCGTAAGTGATGTGTACATTTTCTTGCAAGGGCCAGATACTAATATTTTACACTTTGCAGGCCATGCAGGTTCTGTCACAACTACTCAGCTTTACGGTTCCAGCAAGAAGGCAGCCATAGACAAAATGTACTAACGAGTGTGGCTGTTTTCCCATTTATGGACACTGAAATCTGAATTTTATTCCGTTTTTATATTGTGGGATATTATTCTTCCTTTGATTTGTTTTTTTTTTTTGGACAGAGTCTCACTGTGTCACCCAAGCTAGAGTGCCGTGGCCCAATCTTGGCTCACTGCAACCTCCACCTCCCAGGTTCAAGTGATTCTCATGCCTCAGCCTCCCAAGTAGCTGGGACTACAAGTGCGTGCCACCACGCCTGGCTAATTTTCGTATTTTTAATAGAGGTGGGGTTTCGCCATATTGGCCAGGCTGGTCTTCAACTCCTGGCCTCAAGTGATCTGCCTGCCTTGGCCTCCCAAAGTGCTGAGATTACAGGCGTGAGCCACTGCACTGGCCTTCCTTTGATTTTTTTTTTCCCCCAACCATTTAAAACCATAAAAACCAGTGTTAGCTCATGGGTTGCACAAAAACAGGTAGTGGGTTGGATTTGGCCAACAGGCTGTATGTAGTTTGCCAACCACTGTTCTGTGCATTACATCAGGAGGAACATAGTATTAGCTACCTTACTATTTGTGAGGCTGAATCATTTGCTTTTAAGAAAATGACCATTGATTTTCTTCATTTATAGGTACATATGTATCCCTTTGTATTAGAAAGAAATCTATAGGATCATAGTTCGAGATAGTATTCAAAATCCTTTTCCCAACAACATTTCACAGAAGGTTTTCGTTTTCCCATCTATTGATGATTCTTGGCCTAAATCAGTAATTATACCAGGAATTCAAATTTTATATCTTATTTTTTTTTTCTTTTTTTTGTCCTCACAATCTGTTCCCAAGGAATTCTAATTTTAATTAGAAAATTTTAATTGCATCTTTCTTTCGGCATTATTAGCTGGCATTCTTCTGTAAAAAGAGCCTCTCCTTTCCCTATTGTTTTGAATATCATTATGCACTCATGAACCTTTTTAAATTCAATGTACTTATTATTCATTACTGTCATTATTTGTTTTGAGCACAAAATTACCCAAATTTAGCCAGTTGGATCCTTCAAGTCAGCTTATGTGTTCTTTTGATGTGACCCCATTTAGTCTTTGAGCTTGTGGCATGATATGCCCAAGGCTCACCATAGTACTTTCTTTGCCCCATCCTGATGCTAGCCATGTCTCTAAAAAGCCCTGGGTCCCTTCTGTAGGAAAGGATATTTAAAGACCATAATCTGAGTAGGCTTTAAAACTTCTTTATCTTCTCTGTATCTGTTCACTCTTTTTTTAAATTTAGGTTCGTAGTAACTATATTGCTGGCCTTTTTACCAGCTTTATGTATTTTGATCCAGTCTGTTGTTTTCTTTTTGTTTTCCATTTGATTGCTGTTTTATTTTACATTTTTTTTGTTTTACTAGTATCTTTTCTAGGCCTTGAAAATGTATTCTTTAAACTTTTTGAGGCACAATTTACATAGCACAAAATTATTTTATTCTAAGCATGCAATCCAGTGATTTTTTTTCATAAATTTACCTAGTTTTGTAACTGTCACTATAATCCAATTTTAGAACATTTTTTATCACCCTGTAAGATCTTTTATGCCCATTTAATCTGCATTAGCACTCCCAGTCCCAGGTAACCACTAATCTACTTTCTGTCTCTATAGATTTACCTTTCCTAGATATTTTGTATAAATGGAATTATATGATATGTGGTCTTTTGTGTATGTCTTCTTTCATTAAGTGTAATGTTTTCAGGATTCACCTGTGTTGTAGCGTATGTCAGTATTTCATTTCTTTTTATTGTTTTGTTTGTTTTAGGAGACATGGTCTCACTCTGTCACCTAGGGTGGAGTGCAATATCATGATCATGGCTCACTGCACCCTCAAACTCCTGGCCTCAAGTGATCCTCCCACTGTAGAGTTCTGACTAGCTAGGACCGCAGGCGCACACCACCATGCCTGGCTAATTTGTAAACAATTTTTTTAAGAGATGGAGGTCTTGCTGTGAACTCCTGACCTCAAGTGATCCTCCTGCCTCAGCCTCCTGAGTAGCTGGGATTACAGGTGTGAGCTACCATATCAGGCTCATTTCTTTTTATTGTTGAATAGTATTCCATTGTGTGGATATATATGAGTTTTGTTTAGCAGTCTCCCAGCTGGTGGACATTTGAATTGTTTCTACTGTTTGGCTATTACAAATAATGCTGCCACTAACATTCAAATGTAAGTCTTTGTGTGGACATACATTTTATTTCTTTTGTGCATATATCCAGGAGTAGAACTGCTGGCTTATATGAGAAATTTATGTTTATATTTTTAAGAAACTGCCTGTTTTCCAAAACGGTATCATTTTACATTCCCACTATCACTATGTGAGGGTTCCTATTTCTCTGTGTCTTGGCCAACATTTGTTATTGTCTGTCTTTTTTATTATATCCATTCTAATGGGTATGAAACAGTACCTCATTGAGGTTTAACTTTGCATTTTCTTAATGACTGATGATAATTGAGCATCTTTTCATGTGCTCATTAACTGTTCTAATACCTTCTTTGGTGAAATGTCTATTCAAATCTTTTGCCCGTTTTTTGAGTGTGTTGTTTGTCTTCTTAATTAAAATTCTTTGTATATTCTACTGACAAGCTCTTTTTTATTTTTTCAATAACTTTGTTATGAATGGTGACAAGTTCTTTATCAGGTATATAATTAGCAAATATTTTTTCTCAGTCTGTGACTTGTCTTTTTATTTTCTTAATGGTATCTTTTGAAGTACAAAAGTTTTAAATTTTGGTGAGGTCCAGTTTATCAATTTTTTCTTGTAGAAATTATGCTTTTGGTATTGTATGTAAGCAATCTTTACTTAATCCAAGGTCTTGAAATTTTTCTATATGTTTTCCTCTAAAAATATTACAATTTTTGCTCTTACATTTGGATTTCTGATCCATTCAAGGACCTATTTTTATTTTTTATTACTATTAAAAAATGTTTTTTATGTCTCTCGAGTCATAAGGACTTTTTTGGGGGATGCAGTGGCGCAATCTGAGCTCACTGCAACCTTCGCCTCCCAGATTCAAGTGATTCTCCTGCCTCAACCTCCCGAGTAGCTGGGATTACAGGTGTGTGCCACCACTCCCAGCTAATTTTTGTACTTTACAAGACAGGGTTTCACCATGTTGGCCAGACTGATCTTGAACTCCTGACCTCAAGTGACCCACCTGCCTCAGTCTCCCAAAGTGCTGGCATTACAGGCATAAGCCACCACACCCGGCCAAGGGACTTACTGTTAAATAGGCTGTTATACTTTTAAGATGTATGTAATGGGACCAGGTGTGGTGGTTCACACCTGTAATCCCAGCACTTTGAGAGACCAAGGTGGGAGGATCACTTGAGGCCAGGAGTTTGAGACTCTCCTGGGCAACATAGTGAGACTTCATCTCTCCAAAAAAATTAAAAATTAAAAATTAAAAAATTAGCCAGGCATGGTATAGTCCCAGCTACTTGGGAGGCTAAGCCAGGAGGATCCGTTGAGCCTGGGAAATCAAGGCTGCAGTGAGCTATGATTGCATCACTGCACTCTAGCCTGGGCAACAGAGAGACCCAATCTTTTTTTTTTTAAAAAAAAAAAAAAAAGAAAAAAGAAAATGTAAGTAAATGACTTCCTTTTGGTTGCTCTCTTCTAGGTAGGACAGCAAGGAGATTCCAATAATAACTTAAGTCCCTTCAGCATTGCTCTTCTTCTGTCTGTAACAAGAATACAAAGATTTCAGGACCAGGTATTTTTTTAAAATGCCATTTTGTTTCTTTCTGTAGTTGGTAAAAAAAAAAAAAAAAAAAAAAAATCACAGTAATCTGTTTTTGTTGTATCCGTTCCTAAACAATTTTATCCCCTTCCTGCCAGCAGCAAAGCTGCAATAAGACATGTATGTCCCCTCTGTTCTCTGGGGATTGATGGAAAACTTTTACAGGTTTTTGGTTTATTCCTCCGTTTCCTGTTGTGTGGTAAGCTAGGTAGTGAGGTGGGAATAAGAGTGGAAGGATACCACACAGCCCCAGTTGGAGGAAGGGACAATTTAGCTGGATATTCACCAGCAGTTTTACTATGTTGTAGCTTTCCAAGAGTAGGTTAGTTGCAAGGATGAAATTTACAATTTTTTTCTTATATGTGTTCCAGGTTGTGGGTAATATTTATATTGACTTTTAGCCTTTTTTCCCCCTTTTTTCTTAAGGAAGGCTTGTCTTCAGCTCCTTAAAGTTCCCACTGAATGTCATAATTTTTGTAACATCTTCATCTAGTTAAAATAGTTGTCATAGGGATATATGTGAATGGCAGCTCATAGGAACAGTTATAAGGTTAAGATTTATAGCATGAGCTATATAATATTTGCTTTATTTTCTTATTTCTTTCATTCTGTTAGGTGCTTGATCTTTTATTTATTTATTTTTTCATTTATTTTTATTAACTATACTCAAGGTGCTTGATCTTTTAAAGACTTCGGTTGTAAAGAGCTTTAAGGATCTTCAACTCCTCCAAGGCTCAAAATTTCTTCAGAATCTAGTTCCTCATAGATCTTATGTTTCAACCATGATCTTGGAAGTAGTGAAGAATAGGTAAGTTGGTGAACCATATCTCAAAAGGTTTATAAGGTGTTTAATGTTAGAAAATGCAATGTGATATCATACTTGCAGCCTGTGAGGGGAAACTGATGACTTAACAGCTGTTGACGTCACACATCGAGGTTCATTTTCTTAAAACTGGTAGAGGATACTTTTTCCCTATGGAAATATCCTTGAATCTCAGGCCCTGGTTTCTTGGCCACCTTGACAGCAAGCATACAAAACTGAATTAGTTGCTTTTGTTTATTCCATGATATTACAATTCTCTATTTTCCTTTTCTTTCTTTCCTTTTTTTTTTTTTTTTTTTTTTTGAGACAGAGTCTCACTCTGTCACCGAGGCTGGAGTGTAGTGCCACAATCTTGGCTCACTGCACCCTTGACCTCCTGGGCTCAAGCAATCCTCCCACCTGAACCTCTCGAGTACCTGGTATTACAGGCATGCTCCACCATGCCCAAGTAATTTTTGCGTTTTTTGTAGAGACAGAGTTTCGCCATATTGCCCAGGCTGGTCTTGAACTTCTGAGCTCAAGCAATCCACCTGCCTTGGCCTCCCAAAGTGCTGGGATTACAGGCTTGAGCCACCGGTCCTGGCCGTTTCTTTTCCTTTTTAAAGGAAACAGTCTCACTATGTTGCCCAGGCTGGAGTGCAATGGCTATTCACAGGCTCTATTATAGCACGGTAAAGCCTCAAACTCCTGGCCTCAAGTGATGCTCCCACCTCAGTAGCTGGGACTATAGGCATGTAGCCCTGTGCCTGGCTTGGCCTTTCTTCTTTTTTTTTTTTTTTTTTTTCTGAAGACGTAGGAACTTTTCACTATGTTGCCCAGGCTAGACTTGATCTTCTGGGCTCAACTGATCCTCCTGCCTCAGCCTCTCAAGTAGCTGGGACAATAATAGGTGCATGCCACTGCATCTGACTCATGGCCTCTTTTTAAAGTGAGTAAAAAACATTAAGAGTTTTATTTACTTTGTTGAAATTTGGAGCGTACAGTTGGAATTCAATTATTGATTAGCCAGTTTAGAGAAATTCATTTAAAACCACATGGAAAACATCAGTAACTGTCCTGGTTTTTATTTTAATTTCAGGATATACATTAGCTGTTGTAACAGTCTTTACTATGTCATGCTTTCACTGTGTATTAAATATATTTTAAAGTTTCATAATTTAAGCATAATTTATGGTAGGCCTCTTCTAGGCCTGGAATTCTTGTTTATTAATAGATTGAATTTACATGAGCTTTGCAGTAGGGCAAATTTGAAATTAGAGTTTATTGTTTGAGTGTTTTACCCATTGTTAGGCCTTAAAGCTTTTTAATCTTTGTATCTCATTATTCTTTTTCCTGAGGTTTATACTTGTGTCTCCAGTATTTTCCCAACCCAATCTCTTAAAGTTGGGCTAAAGAAGGAGGTACTCACTAACCAGGAAATTCCTGGAAAGCTTCCCATCTTCTGGAAATCTCAACTGTCATAGGACTTGAAAGCATCTCCATGTATAATTAGCCTGGAGTGGGTACTTGCCACTGGGTGGGACCAAACCTCAGCTGGGAGAGATTTGGATAGCCTTATTAGATCCTCTAAAATAACTGGCTGGTTAGTTACACATGCTTGCCCCAGTCAGTTAATGAACCTTTAAATAATGCATTCTCCATTTTATGTAATTGAATTTTTGGCTCTTCAGAGTATGAATATTGTTAACTCTGTTAAAGTCTTATAATTTATCCATAACTGTCTACTTCATTCTGTAGTGCTGCATTATAATTTGTTGCAATTTAACAGGTAGATATAATGGATAAAGGTTATATTCACATTATTTCCACTGTGGGGTATAACATTAAGTGGTATAAAACCACCAATGATTCTACTCTTTTACAAAAGATTATTTGTAGTTTTAGCTTATGCTGTTGATACCAGATCACTCATCCATTTATAGTATAAATATCTACTGAGTGTCTTTTATATGCCACCCTTGTGCTAAGCAATGTGGGTAAAAATATGACTATACTATGACCTCTCTCCTAGAGAATCTCTGTCTTTGGAGGGGAGCTAATTTGTAAGCCTCTACATAAGCGTTGTCAGTGCTGTAGGGTAATAGAAGAGGCAGCAATGAACTTCTCATCATGAAATCTTGAATAGGAATCTTTAATTTTTTTAATACTCTCTAGCTTCTGGATTTTCCCAGTATTCTGTGTGTCATTGGAGACCACTTGCCTGCTGTTCCCATTATGGTACATTTAGGAATTCAGAATTCTGTCAGACGATGTGTGTAAAGAAAAGGTTTATATGCAGAGTACGTTGATTATCTAGGTCAAGTTTGGGAAATGTATAACAGGGCAATGAGTATAAAGGTAAGAATATCTCACTAAGTTTTTCTTTTTTAACTAAGCTTTGTGTTCTTGTAGCGTTCATAGCTGGGACCATGTTACTCAGGGCCTCGTAGAACTTGGTTTCATTTTGATGGATTCATATGGGCCAAAGAAGGTTCTTGATGGAAAAACTATTGAAACCAGCCCAAGTCTTTCTAGAATGCCAAACCAGCATGCATGTAAGCTCGGAGCTAATATCCTGTTGGAAACTTTTAAGGTGAGACACTATTTTGGCAACCACTCCCTAATTTTGTTTAAATAATCCAAGTAGGGCTTGGCATTTGCCTGGGAGTTTGGTGGACAAGGAAATTTGAGTATGTATTAGTTTGACAGAGGATATATGACAGAGATTAGGATAATATTGAAACATTATAGATCCAGTTTGATGGAATACTTACTTACGTATTCTTCTATGTAAGTTTTTCATTTATTCCACTTAATCCAATTGTTTCTGACCTAGAAGTTTGAATATAAGACAGCTTTTTCATGATTTTTCCTTCTTCTTCCAGAAGTAAACCATTTCTAGTTTTTGTTTTGTTTTGTTTTAATGCTGTTCCTTTACACAGAAGAAATTTTTTTAGGTCACTGTAGAGCATCAAGCTTAAAGAATCATGCTTAAGAATTTTTACTGAAAATAAAACAAAAAAAGAATCATGCTTGGTCGGGCATGGTGGCTCAAGCCTATAATCCCAACACTTTGGGAGGCTGAGGTGGGCAGATCACTTGAGCTCAGGAGTTTGAGACCAGCCTGGGCAACGTGGCGAAACCTCATCTCTACAAAAAACACAAAAATTAGCCAGGTGTGGTGGCACGCACCTGCAGTCCCAGCTACTTAGGTGACTGAGGTGGATCACTTGAGCCCAGGAAGTCAAGGCTACAGTGAGCTGTGTTTGCACCACTGCACTCCAGCCTGGGTAACAAAGTGAGATCCTATCTCAAAAAAAAAAAAAAAAAAAAAGAATCATACTTATTGGTTCATTGTTTCTGAAGAAACCAAAATGGGAAATGTACATTTTTTTGACATTATTACCAAATTATCACTGACATCTCAATCTTAATTACTGAAACAGTTTTCAAAAATTTATTTTCTCTTGAATAAAAAAATGCTAGATCATATCTGAGGTTAAACAACTTTTCTAGTAATTCCTCTAAGTCTTCTTGATGTTCAATTGTTTAATGTAGCTACACACCAAGAGTGTCTGCTGAAAATGTTTATTTGGGAGGCTGATCTAAATGTAAATCTAGTGTTCTAATCCAGAACTATGAAGTAAATGTCAGAATAGTTCTTGAGAGTTATCAGTGTATTTGATGATATAAATTACCCTGCTTAACAGTGATATTGTTAAAGACATTATCTTAGAGTATGTTTTTATATTTAAATTATTATTTTTCAAAACTAAAGAGGCTCCATTTGATTTCACATGGATGTCGGCTTTATCAAGGCATCTTTATAAATTGCTACTAAGTCACTAACAGTCTGAGGTCTGAACGAATTAGTCTGTACCATAAAGTAATCAAGTTGAAGTAAGAATTTTAACTACAATTCAAGTGAAAATTCAGAATGGGTCTTTTTAACAGCAACTGCTGTGCTTCTAGAAACTGAGAAAGGGGTTAGGGAAGATCTTTTAAGTTTCTAGAAATCTTCATGGGCTTTTACATTTTAATTTTTAGAATAAAAGTTATGTATACTGTCAGGAATATGGATATTGTCAGGTAATGGATACCTAAGTAGAATTGATCCTGTTTGATGCTGAACCTTATATGTAGCAATAGTTTAATGTGATCTGTACTTTTAGGCTAATAAACATGGTATTTATCCTACTAATGAATCATCTAAGCACAGAACAAGGGGAAAGTTGAGTGATTCTGTCTTTCCAGATGATTCACATTATATTCTGATTTTTTGAGTTTTACTCATATCCAAACGGTTCTTCATGCTGCCTGACATGCATTGATATACTTAAAAGCTGAAGGGTCACCCAGGAATATTTTATTTATTCTGTTCTTTTTAGATCCATGAGATGATCAGACAAGAAATTTTGGAGCAGGTCCTCAACAGGGTTGTTACCAGAGCATCTTCTCCCATCAGTCATTTCTTAGGTATTCAACTTTGAAAGAATGAATAAAGTTTTTAGAAATATTTTCATTTCAATGTCATAATCATTTGGTCCTGGGAAAAAAATTTTAATGAGCATTTAAATGCAGTATCTTTGATAGGATGCCAATAAAGGAAATCCATTTATGTTGTCTGGGATTGTCAGTTGTCAAAAAGGCTGTAGCTGTTAGTAAGGAAAGCAACAATTAACCAATAAGTAAAACTTCCATTTTGCTCAACATTTTCTCTTTTTGTTAATACCTCTCAAATGAGTGCTGTCCTGCTGCTGCCACTCATTGACTTCCTAGTCCTTTTAGCCTTGACATTTGGACTGCACAGTGTTTCTCTCTGGTAACCTCTGAATTTGCTGTTTTGTTGTTGTTGTTGTTGTTGTTGTTGTTGTTTCTTTTTTAGACACAGTTTCACTCTGTTGCCTGGAGTGCAGTGGCGCAATCTCAGCTCACTGCAACCTCTGCCTCCTGGGTTCACGCAGTTCTCGTGTCTCAGCCTCCTCAGTAGCTGGGATTACAGGCGCACGCTACCACACCCAGTTAATTTTTGTATTATTAGTAGAGACAGGGTTTCGCCATGCTGGCCAGGCTGGTCTCGAACTCCTGACTTCAGGTGATCCACCCACCTTAGCTTCCCAAAGTGCTGGGATTACAGGCGTGAGCCACCATGCTTGGCCTGAATTTGCTGTTTTTAATACATAACTCCTAATGTCTAAATTTACTAGCCTTCATCACAAATTTTAAAAATTTCTCCGTGTCATTCATCACTGTTTATAACTCCCCTGAAACTTTTTAGGTAAGTTCTCTGATTACTGTAAGAGTCTGCTTCTTTTCCTGCCTGTGACCAGTTTTCCTTTTACCTCAAATATAATACAGTTCCCTTCAAACAAATTTTCCTTTTCATTGCTCCTATTTCCATTATTTGAAGCATGGTTCTCCAGGTCCTGGAGGCTGGAATTACCTTTTATTTTCTCAAACACAAGTTCTGTCATTTTTCTCCCTCATACTGTCATTGTTTCTATCTTTTTATTCCCTCCTCCTCCCAACCTCACATCCAGTGTCTAATTCCTATTCTTACTACCTTGAATTTAGACTACTGCCACAGCTTTCTAACTGGTTTCCTGGCTTTTTCTTCTCCCTGCAGCAATTTAACCTGCATATTACCACACATTAGTATTCCTAAAATACCACCTTATGACTACAGAATCATCAATATGTTCTTTAGTAAATTGTCAGCTCTTTTTGTTTGTTTGTTTTTTGAGATGGAGTCTCACTCTGTCACCCAGGCTGGAGGGCAGTGGTGTGATCTCAGCTCACTGCAACCTCCGCCTCCCGGGTTCAAGCAATTCTCCTGCCTCAGCCTTGAGAGTAGCTGGGACTGCAGGCACGTGCCACCACACCCAGCTAATTTTTGTATTTTTAGTAGGGATGGTGTTTCACCATGTTGGCCAGGATGGTCTCAATCTCTTGACCTCGTGATCCACCTGCCTCAGGCTTCCAAAGTGCTGGGATTACAGGCGTGAGCCACCACACCTGGCCAAATTGTCAGCTCTTTATCCTGGCACTGAAGGTGCTTGACAAGTTGATCCCACCCTACCTTTCCATTGTTAAAGTCAGTTATTTACTTTCCTGGATTCTTCACCCCAGCATCATTGATTTCCCTACCATCTTCTGAATATGTCTTAAACTTACCTTTCTCATACCTTTACTCATACTTTTCCCTTTATATATGTAGGCCTTTCTGGTGCTTTGTGCATTTAAATGTTCCCCATCTTTTAGAACCTAGTTTAAGTTCCTTCTCCTCATTGCTTTCCTAATATATACCAACTCATAATGAGCTCTTCTTCCTTTGAACTCCTATTTAAACTCTCCCTTTACCATTTGGTAGGCAATAAACTATGTTTGGAATTAATAGATATTTGATATTGCTCTGTGATTTACCTCTTTAATTCTTTAAAAAAATTTTTTTACTTCCAACTAAATTATTAAAATTTTTGAAGAAAGACTATGTTTTATACTTTTATGTTCCTAATAGGACCATATTACGCTTGTGCATAGTAAAAATTCAGAAATATTTATTGATTTATTTTAGCTTAGAAGTAAGAAGATGTGTGCTACTACTTATGTCTAGGCAGTGTAATCGGTTTCTTCCTTTCTTTTAGGCAGTTTAATTTTTATAGAAATTGAAACTATCATAGAAAAAAGCTAAAATTATCCTGGTTACATTGGAGAAAAAGTATATATAGAATCAGTAGAAATTTGTATTGCAGTATACTTGACTTATTTGAGAAAGGAAACAAAAGACTTCACATTTCTTTCTCCGTATTTTTCTTTTATTTCAGTTATCTTTAGTTATTTGAGACAACTGATTATAGATTCTGTTTTTCAGACCTGCTTTCAAATATCGTCATGTATGCACCCTTAGTTCTTCAAAGTTGTTCTTCTAAAGTCACAGAAGCTTTTGACTATTTGTCCTTTCTGCCCCTTCAGACTGTACAAAGGCTGCTTAAGGCAGTGCAGGTAAGTCTTCAGATTCCCAAGTAACTTGCCAAAACTGAGGTTTAACTGTCTAGTGGAAGTCTGATGCATTTTTGTATAAATATATATGTCTAAGAAATTCTATTCCACTTTAGTCTGAAACATAAAATTTGCATTAAAAGGGCAAGAGCATTGAGCAAGACTGTTTTCCAGGTTTATTTCCTATCCATAACACTATTCTCTCAACTCATTTTCAAGTTAATGAAATAATTAAAACTCTCTTAGAACATTATTGACTACAATAGATTTACAGAGGCATTTGCAACCAGTTTCATTTTAGTGTTTCAGAGTATACTATTGTCCTTGTTAACTGTAATAAACATTAAAACGTATATAAAACAGAAGTAAGCTTCCTTATAGAAGCCATATGGTAACAGTATTGGGTAGAAATGACCTAAGGCTAATAAGCAAACTTGTTCTGTTTTTACCCACTGATTCTTTTTCAGCCCCTTCTCAAAGTCAGCATGTCAATGAGAGACTGCTTGATACTTGTCCTTCGGAAAGCTATGTTTGCCAAGTATGTAGCATCTTTTTCTATCATAGGAAGACGTTGTCTTCTAATGTTGGAGCTAAAGTTATCTCTGCCATCTCCTAGTACCACCTGTTCACAGTGATCATGAGAATTCCTAGCCCCGCAGAGCAATTTCATCAAATAAGGCATTTTGCTAAGTGCTTTATGTGCTTTTTTCATTTAGTCTTCAGAGCAACCCTATGAAGTAAGAATTATTGCAATTCCCATTTTACAGATAAGAAAAGTTAGGCTTAGAGAAGATGAGTGACTTTCCAAAAGTAAAACAGTAGTTGGTGGTGGAGCAAGGATTCAAAGTCAGGTCTAACATCAGAGCTTGTGATGTCAAGTACTTTGCTCTACTACATTAGAATAATCTTCAGGGTAATGTTCTAGTGTCAAATACTCTGAAACCTGAGCTGGCAGCAGTTCCAAAGGGGAAAGTACCTTAGTCAAGAAGATTATACTTAAGAATCTCATTTTAGTGAACATCTGAATTATGATCTAGAGGCTAGTAGATCAAATTAATTGTTGAGGGGAATGAGTTTTATTTGTAGCTTAGCCAGTCCCTCCTAACATCTCTTCCTTTATTTCTTAGTATATAAGCTAGAGATGATCTTGCCATCTCCTAAAAATATAAGACAGTAATATGTGAAAAGCATTTGGTACTTTGAGGATAAGATGCCCAATTAATATCACATTGGCCATATTATAATATATTCATGGGTGTCCAGAGGAACAACTAAGCCATATGCTATTATCTTTGTTCTAGAATTAAAAGTTTTTGTTACTCCTCACCCAAAGGCATAGCGAATAGACTGAGATATTACGTTGTAACATCTTTAACATGAATTAATCATTGCGCCTCAGTGAGAAGACAAGTGTGACATTTTCTGGATGGACAGTTTACATGGCATCAAATATTACATTATCCTATGATGAAAGAGAGCATATGAAGGGAAGCACTCCTTCAAACATGGCAAAATCAGCAATTTCTTACATTTGAGTAACCAGCCAATTTTACAGTCTCTCAGCAGTCTTCTTATTCCTCACATAGACTTGAGAGCAGGATAGAAGGAAGTAGAGTATCATGAGTTAAGTATTGAAAAAAGTCAGTTGAATTTCTGTACTATAAATTGCTTTGAACAGCTGATACCTTATTTTGAGTACATAAATTCACTTTGTTTTGCTCTACGCTTCATTGTTTATACATATGCCTTCTCTGTATGCAACTAGCTGGATTTTTCTGACCCAGAAGCATATTCCTGTGAAATAGTACTGTTTGTTAACTTCTCTATTTCTGAGCTAGCCAGCTTGATGCCCGAAAATCTGCAGTTGCTGGGTTTTTGCTGCTCCTGAAGAACTTTAAAGTTTTAGGCAGCCTGTCATCCTCTCAGTGCAGTCAGTCTCTCAGTGTCAGTCAGGTAAGGATTATTTACGTTAACTTGCAGTGTGTGCGTATCATTCATGTGCATCGATGAAATGCACGCTGTTTTCTTTTATTCCTGTTATGGTTGTAAGAATGATCCTAGAACTAAAGAGTCTGATGATGATGATGGTGCTGATGATGATGATGATGATGATATTGGCTAACACTCATTAATGGCAGATTTACTGTATGCTAAACTGTGCTATCCAGTATGGTAGCCACTGTCCTCAGTGTGGCTATTGAATGGAACATTTGATTGAAATGTGGCTAGTCCACATTGTGTTGTGCTATACATGCAAAATTCATACCAGATTTTGAAATAAAAGAATGTAAAAATCTAATAATTTTTAATATTGATTACATCTTCAGAGAGAATTTTGTATGTGTTGGGTTACAGAAAACATTAAAATTTGACTTTATCTCTTTCTCTTTTTTAATGTGGCTACTAGAAAATATAAAATTACATACATGGCTTGCATTTGTGGTTCATATTATATTTCTTTCTTTTTTTTTTTTTGAGACGGAGTCAGTCTGTCACCCAGGCTGGAGTGCAGTGGCGCGATCTCGGCTCACTGCAACTCACTGCAAGCTCTGCCTCCCGGGTTCACGCCATTCTCCTGCCTCAGCCTCCCGAGTAGCTGGGACTACAGGCGCCTGCTACCGTGCCTGGCTAATTTTTTGTATTTTTAGTAGAGATGGGGTTTCATTGTGTTAGTCAGGAGGTCTCGATCTCCTGACCTCGTGATCCACCCGCCTCGGCCTCCCAAAGTGCTGGGATTACAGGCGTGAACCACCACACCCGGCCCATATTATATTTCTTTTGGATAGCACGGTGCTAGATATTGTGCCAAAATGCTTTACATTTATTATCTCATTTAATCTTCACAGCAGTCCTCTGAGGCTAGATACTATTATTATCCCATTTTCTTACGTCATTGTATTTACTTTGCACAGGAACATATATTACACCTTGTAATCTGGGAAAACAAAACTTTTTATAATAATCTGGTAATCTAGGCTTTGGAGCAATAAAATTGTCTTCATAATTTAAATGATGTACTATAAGATTTATAAATAGGAGACATTTATATATAACAGTTTGACTAGGAATCCTCACTTTATTGCTTTGGTATAACTACATAAAGCTTTGTCTATAACATATAGCATAGATTAAATATTAGGAACACTAGATATCATTTGTGTGTTATTATCCCCATTTTAAAGACAGGGAAACTGAGGCTGAGCCAGGTTAAATAACTTGCCCAAGGTTATATAACCAAGAAAGGGTGGAAGAAGGATTTGGCCTCAGGCAGTATGAACTACATTACTGTGATGCCTGGAGTAAGGATTAGGAATTCTTGGTCTATAATTGCTGATTTTATTATGTAATTTACACAAAGGATGTCAGTTCTTTGTCATGTCCATTTCTAAACAAAAGACTGTCTTCCTCTCAACCTTTCTAGAATTTGTGGAATAGTGAGATTCTTCTAGCTATTGAAGAAGTCTTAGACCTTTTAAATAAAATTATGTATATTGTTACTACTGGATTCTAGTGGCTTGAAATAAGCAGTGTACCTTCCTAAGCAATTGATATTGTCAAGGAAACCTTAAGGAATATGAACAGTTAATTTTGTTAAAATGCTTAAAAATTCTCTTATTCCAAACCAGAATAAGAGTGACACTTACTACTGCATGGTAATGATTATACTGTGTGTCTCACCCCTGGGGTTTGGCATGTGGAGGAAGCTAAGTTTTTTCGACCAAGAACATAGGCTCATTTAGCTCCTTATTGGAAACAGCTTTGGTAAGATAGACGTGAATTGGCCTGTCTTCCTTTCAGGTTCATGTGGATGTTCACAGCCATTACAATTCTGTCGCCAATGAAACTTTTTGCCTTGAGATCATGGATAGTTTGAGGAGATGCTTAAGCCAGCAAGCTGATGTTCGACTCATGCTTTATGAGGTAAGTCCGTAGAATGGAAAGAATGTAGCAAAACCCCAACTAATAATTTTTATTTTAGTAATTTTTTTCCTGATTATAAAAGTACAATAGCTATGCTCTTACTTGATGTAGTCAGCACCAGTAGCTAGTGATGTTTAGTCAAAAAGTTGTTTAAGGCAGGGCACAGTGGCTCACACCTGTAATCCCAACACCTTGTGAGGCCAAGGCAGGAGGATCAAGCAAGACTCTGTCTTTACAAAAAATAAGAAAATAAAAAACATTAGCTGGGTGTGGTGGCATGCGCCCGTGGTCCCAGCTACTCAGGAGGCTGAGGCAGGAGGATCCCAGCAGTGAGGCTGCAGTGAGCTATGATCACACCACTGCCCTCCAACCCAGGCAACAGTGAGACCTTGTCTCTCAAAAAAATTTTTTTAAGGTGAGAAATCATAAAACACAGTTGATAGACCTTAAATATTTTATTTTAATTTGAAATATTTAAATATACTATAAATTTGCCAGTCTTAAGACTAAGTCCTTTTTTTTGCTTTGTTAATGATTACAAGTTTACTTCCTGCCTCTCATACAAACCCATACCCTTAATTTATTGCCTATAGTTTCAAATTTGTGTTTACCTAAAGTGGTATGAAAACTTTAAGCTACCTCAGATACAGTTTAGCACAAAAATCTTTTAGATAGCTTCAGTTTTTTCTCTTTTTACAATTGTGTTACCTCTAATTTATCAGAAATTGGTTTGAGAGACTGACTTTCCAAACATTGTTCCAAACTTAGTTTTTTTTTTTCTTTGGGACAGAGTCTCGCTCTGTCACCCAGGCTGGAGTGCAGTGGCACAATCTCGGTTCACTGCAGCCTCCATCCTCCATCTCCTGGGTTCAAGCAGTTCTCCTGCTTCTCAACCTCCCAAGTACCTGGGATTACAGCCATGCACCACCATGCCCAGCTGATTTTTGTATTTTTAGTAGAGATGGGATTTCACCATGTTGGCCAGGCTGGTCTTGTACTCCTGGCCTCAAGTGATCCACCTGTCTCGGCATCCCAAAGTATTGGGATTACAGGCGTGAGCCACCATGCCTGGCCTAACTTAGTTTTTATAAAAGCAACTTCTTTTTCTTTTTGCACTGGGTTTTCAACAGTTTACTGAACGTCTGATTAAATCACTAGTTATTATGACAGTACAGCTAAGAGAAATACAACTACTGACTTGTGATTAGCATATAACTCACCCAGAGGATATTGTGGTAGCATATGTGAAAACAACATTCATCTTTCTGTACATTTCCATCAGAGCTCTTAGATGCCTAGGTGCACTATCAATGAGCAGTAATATTTTGAGAAGAATCTTTTTTTTTCTGAGCAGTAGGTCTCAACAGTGGGCTTAAAATATTCAGCAAACCATGCTATAAACAGATGTGTTATCATGCAGGCTTTGCTTTTCCATTTATAAAGCACAGGCAGAGTAGATGTAGCATAATTCTTAAGGGCCCTAGGATTTTTGGAATAGTAAATGAGCATTGATTTCAACTTAAAGTCAGCAGCTACATTAACCCCTAACAAGACAGTCAGCCTGTCCTTTGAAGCCAGGCATTGACTTCTCCTCCCTAGCTAGGCAAGTCCCAGATAAAGTCTTCTTCCAATATAAGGCTATTTCATCTACATTGAAAATCTGTTGTTTAATATAACCACCTCGATCAATTATGTTAGCTATATCTTCTGGATAATTTGCCTCAGCTTCTCCATCAGCATTTGCTGCTTCACCTTGCACTTTTTTTTTTTTTTTTTTTTTGAGTCTCACTCTGTCACAAGGCTGTAGTGCAGTGGCACAATCTCGGCTCACTGCAACCTCCGCCACCCAGGTTCAAGTGATTCTCCTGCCTCAGCCTCCCAAGTAGCTGGGACTATAGGCTCACGCCACCATACCCAGCTAATTTTTGTATTTTTAGTAGAGACTGGGGTTTCACCATGTTGGCCAGGATGGTCTCAATCTCTTGACCTCGTGATCTGCCCGCCTCGGCCTCCTAAAGTGCTGGGATTACAGGCGTGAGCCACTGCGCCCAGCCCCTTGCACTTTTATGTTATGGAGATGGCTTCTTTCCTTAAACCTCATGAACCAACCTCTGCTCGCTTCAGCTTTTCTTTGGCAGCTTCCTCATCTCTTTCAGGCTTTATAGAATTGAAGAGTTTGGTCCTTGCTCTGGATTAGGCTTTGACTTAAGGGAATGTTGTGGCTGGCTTGGTCTTTTACCAGACCACTAAAACTTTCTTCACATCAGCAATAAGGCTGTTTTGCTTTCTAATCATTCATATGTTCACTGGAATAGCACTTTAAATTTCCTTTAAGAGCATTTTCTTTGCATTCACAACTTGGCTCTTTGGTGCAAGAAGCCTAGCTTTTGACTTGCCTCAGCTTGTAACATGCCTTACTAAACTGGATCATTTCTAGCTTTTGATTTAAAGTGAGAGACGTGCGACTCTTCCTTTCACTTGAATACTTATAGGTCATTGTAGGGGTTATTAATTGACCTAATTTCAATATTGTTTTGTCTCAGTGAATAGGGAGGCCTGAGGAGAGGTGGAGAGATGGGATGATGGCCCAGTCAGTGGAACCAGTCAGAACATACACAGCATTTATCAATTAAGTTCACTATCTTATATAGACACAATTCGTGACTCTTCAAACCAATTGCAATAGTAATGTCAAAGATCATTTATCATAGATCCCCATAACACATACAATAATAAAGAGAAAGTTTGAAATATTATGAGAATTACCAAAATGTGACACAGAGACATGCAGTGAGCACATGCTTTTGGAAAAATGGTACTGAGAGACTTGCTTGATGTAGGGTTGCCACAAACCTTTAATTTGTAAACGTAATATCTGCGAAGTGCAATCAAGCAACTTGCAATAAAATTAGGTACGCCCATATTCTGTATAAACCACATTGTTTAAACAGTTAAGGCACAGTGAGCCACTCTTCTTTAGGGTGAGCTTTGTGTCAGTGTAAGTAACTGTTTACCAGCTAAATTCTCAGCCACCAGCTGGCAAAGGTGCACTAAGGATAGGCAGTCTTAGACTTCATGTGTTAACTCTTGTGCAGTCCTTGATATGCCCCTTCCCCCCCAAAAAAAATCTTCACCCTTATTTAGCTCTAAAGTAAAAAAAATTAACATGAAGTGGATCATAGACTTAAACCTATTAGAATATTGCTGTTCATTTATTCATCAGTCTTAGTATATCATTGGTATATAAAAATACCTTATGTAGTGATAAAACTTGTCATATTTGTTGCAAGTGTATGCCAGATTGCCATTTGCTTTTTTTTTAATATGATCCTTTTACACTTAAATAATAATTTTTGGTTACTAAATCTATTGATTTTCTTCCTCTGAGATGTCTTCTATTACTTTTTTTTTTTTTTTAAGAGACAGAGTCTTCCTCTGTTATCCAGGCTGGAGTGCACTAGTGCAGTCTAACTCACTGCAGCCTCCAGCTCCTAGGCTCAAATAATCCTCTTGCCTCAGCCCCATCCCCAAACGATTGGGACCATAGGCACAAGCCACTGCACCCAGCTAATTTTTCTGTTTGTTTTTTTTTTTAACCTTTTGTAGAGACAGGGTCTCACTTTGTTGCCCAGGATGGTCTCAAATGCCCTGGCTTCAAGCGATCCTCCTGCCTCAGTCTTCCAAAGTGCTGGGATTAAAAGCATGAGCTACCGTGCCCGGCCCATCTTTATTATTATTTTATCTGTAGAAAGTCCAAATCCTTCCAATGAATATTCACTAACATTTTCTTTGAGGTTTTTTTTTTTATGCATTTGTTTTTGACGTTTAGCTACTTAATTCATCCTGAATTTGTATGATAATATATATGAGGAGCTTTTCCCCCAAGCTAACCATTTGTTCAGACATCATTGCCTCCTTAATGTGTACTATGTATCTCTGTATGCCATTTTAAAATTTTGCCTGTAGATTTTTGTGCCAAGACAAAGTGTCTTTTTATTATTATTACACATTCATAAAATATTTTAATTGCTGTTAGGATTAATTTTCCTTTGTTCCGTTCCTTTCCCCTTTCCCCTTTTTCCGTTTTCCTTTCCTTTCCGATGGAGTCTCACTCTGTTGCCCAGACTGGAATGCAGTGGTGCGGTCTCGGGTCTCAGCTCACCACAACCTCCCCATCCCCAGTTTAAGCGATTCTCCTGCCTCAGCCTCCCAAGTAGCTGGGATCACAGGCGTGCATCACCATGCCTGGCTAATTTTTATATTTTTAGTAGAGATGGGGTTTCACCATGTTGACCAGGCTGGTCTCGACTTCCTGACCTCAGGTGATCCCTCCTGCCTTGGCCTTCCAAAGTGCTGGGATTACAGGCATGAGCCACCGTGTCTGGCCTGTTTCTTTTCTTTAAACAAAAAAATTTTTTTGATCAATTCTCATTTGCTTTTACTCACAGATGAACTGTATAACCTCTTTTCCAGGTTCCAGAATGAAAGTTCTCCCCAGGATTTTTTTTTTTTTTAAGACAGAGTTTTGCTCTATTGCCCAGGCTGGAGTGCACTGGTGTGATCTCAGCTCACTGCAACCTTCATACCTCAGCCTCCCGAGTAGCTGTGATTACAGGCATGTGCCACCACACCTGGCTAATTTTTGTATTTTTTAGTAGAGACAGGGTTTTGCTGTGTTGGCCAGGCTGGTCTCGAGCTCTTGGCCTCAAGTGATCTGCCTGTCTCAGCCTCCCACAGTGCTGGGATTACAGGTGTGAGTTACTTCACCTGGCTTCCCCAGGATTTTACTCTGAGCAGTTCTTAACTAAGACTAGGACATTTTGGGTGGGAAAAAAATATGGTCATTTATATTAGGGCATTTAGGACTGTCAAATATGGTCTCAATAGGAAAAAACTGAGAAGAGGATAAAGAAAGTGTTATTTTTAAGTTATGATTGTCCAGATCACTAGTATCTCTGTTAAAGTGCTTATTTCTTCTCTTTGATTCCTCTTAGGGGTTTTATGATGTTCTTCGAAGGAACTCTCAGCTGGCTAATTCAGTCATGCAAACTCTGCTCTCACAGGTAAAATACATTTTTATGGATATATGGAAAACAGACCATCAAGGATCGAGAGACAGTTGATGGTTTTCAGACCTTTCAAAATATAAAATAATTCCCAACTAGTACATTAGTACTTTGTGAACATGCTGTGGGTATGTTATGCTGTTCTGGGTTGTCTTATCTCGGTCACCACTTACCTGTCTGCCATAATACCATCATCTAGCAGTTATCCTTGTGAATTAACAGTCTGTATCCTAAGTCAGAAGGACATTTTGAAGAACCATTTATATAAGGACCATTGCAACTGTATCCATTATGTTATATTTCTGAAAGAAAAAAGAAATCCAAAACAAATATAGCAAAATATTATTTCTTAAATCTGGGTAATGGATACATGGATGTCTTTTACATTCCTTTCTGCACTTTTCAGTTAACAAATTTTTAAATTAGAAGATTAAATTCTTCTAATCTTCAAGACTAGAAGAATTCATATAGAGACTCTCTACCAGGAGGGTTCCTTTAGACCCCTAGTCTATCATTTTGTTTGCTGTCTCTCAATGCCATTGCTTTGTGATAGTTATGAAATTTCATTTAAAATTAAGGTCTCAGATGTGTGAAATTATTGGAAGTTCCCATACTGTCCATCAAAAGCTTTTCATCTGGCCTTAGGCTTGATCCTATATAAAATTTATATTCTGTCAGCTATATTGTATCTTTCAAACTGTAATCAACACATCTACATTCACACGTTTAACAAAAATAGAAAATTATGTTTGAAGGCATAGAATAGCGCTTTCTGACTCAGGTTAATATGCAGGACAGTAAAATTCTGCAGACTCCAAAAGTTAAAAGGAGAAAAATAATAACTCATATTTTTTTTGGCTGTCTTATATGCCAAATACTGTTTGAAGTACTTTACATGTATTGTCATGTTTAATCCTTATACAATGATTATTAATAATATCCTCATTTTTAAGATGAGGAATCACGGTACAGATACTTTTATAAAAACCAGTAATAAGTAGTGGTACTGGGATCTTGGACTCAGCCAGTCTGACTCTGGATCCTGTATTTTTAACCTCCAAGTTAACTGAAAATGTTGATTGCATGTACAAGTTTAGGAATAGAAGGAATTGGAATAGGAAAGATGATCCTAATCTGTACAATATCCAAAGCAAGAGCACAGGATGTGGGTGAGCCAAAGAAATAAAAACTTGGCTGCATTGTTCTTTGAACAGTTGGGAAATGTGTGTTAGAAGGCATTAGACATTAAAGATACCTTTCACCTGAGAAGTTAAAAAAGTAAAAAGCATTTATGAGCCAAGATGTCTTTTTTTTCTTACTATACACAGTTAAAACAGTTCTATGAGCCAAAACCTGATCTGCTGCCTCCTCTGAAATTAGAAGCTTGTATTCTGACCCAAGGAGATAAGATCTCTCTACAAGAACCACTGGTGAGACTTTTATTCTTCCTTCAACCATTATTTTTAGTATTAAGGATAGGGTTGAACTTTGCAAAGAGATACCTTTCCCTGTGAAACTCTCTTCCTGGTTCTTCCAATGAATGTTTACTTTTAAGTCTTCCCTGCTTATCATTTCTGAACCATTATCATTTTGGATCTATTGGTAAGTTATCTCCATGTTAGCCCTTTACTAAATCAAGGCTTCCATCACTTCCCCCAGAGAATATTTTATCTCATTTATGAATCTTTGATTACATTCACTAAATAAATGTACTTTAGAATGGGGAGAGGGATGATGTCACCTACGAACAGATGAACCTAGGGGACCTGCTTCATTAGTCTAGAGGAAGTATATGATTTAGGCTGAACTAGGATTGGCACTGTTGAACCTTCAGAGGAGCTAGGCCTGGTTGACTTTCTGTTCTTATCTAGCCTCAGAAGGACAGCGAAGAGGATAAAAATGGAAACTCCCACCCCAAGTGACTTATAACTCATGGCAGAAGAAAGGAGGAAGTCTTTCAGTTGTCATATCTTGCCTTCATTTTTGTGCCTTCTGTGACATGAGATGTCCTCAGCCTAGATCTAAGATGCTGTGTTGGTCTCCTAAAGATTCCCTCAACATAAACCTCTATCTTTAGAATAGCCTCTGGGACTCAAATGAACTAGAGAAGATTTAACTTCACCACCTAGCTCCAGGGTTATTTATCAGACCAGAGATAGCACATCTAATGTTGCATTTTGAGGTGTCAGCCACTTAGGCCAATTTTCGGGGGGAAGCATTAGAAAAGGATGCTGCTGTTCAATTAATTTTCCCAGTTTTGTTAATTTAGATGGACTTAATTTGTAACGCCAATGAATCATTTTCTTTAGCCTTATAGATAAGAATTATTTGCTGGTTATGAACAACTTTATAAGTTATCCATCAACACTCAAGAGTATTTAATTTACTTATTTTCTCCTACAGGATTATCTGCTGTGTTGTATTCAGCATTGTTTGGCCTGGTATAAGAATACAGTCATACCCTTACAGCAGGGAGAGGAGGAAGAGGAGGAGGAAGAGGCATTCTACGAAGACCTAGATGATATATTGGAGTCCATTACTAATAGAATGATTAAGAGTGAGCTGGAAGACTTTGAACTGGTAATTGCTAAGTCCTCAGCTGTATTGAATGATGGAGTTCTTTAGTAGCTTGTTAATTTTTATCTTGTGTCTTTTAGGATAAATCAGCAGATTTTTCTCAGAGCACCAGTATTGGCATAAAAAATAATATCTGTGCTTTTCTTGTGATGGGAGTTTGTGAGGTTTTAATAGAATACAATTTCTCCATAAGTAGTTTCAGGTAAGGTTTTGCTATAACTCCATTTGTAATTTGATGAATTCTCCATTTTATTTACATATTTTTACTGTAGCAGTATTCTAGGCAGTAAACAGACCACAGACGATGACACTGTCTCTTAAATGAGCACCTAGTCTAAGACTAAACTGTGTTCTTTCCACTAGAGAGCGCTGAAGTATATGCTTACCAGGCCTATAAAATGAAAGCCTTCCAGCAGGGTTTCACTTACTCAGAATTTCCCAGACCCTGAATTCAAGAACTCCTAATTTTAACATGGAAATTTTGATTGGTGGTAGTATTGGACTTTAATACTCTGCAGGGACTGGTATAAATAAGGGAGGGGAGGCCAGGTGCGGTGGCTCACGCCTGTAATCCCAGAACTTTGGGAGGCCAAGCTGGGTGTATCACTTGAGGTCAGGAGTTCAAGACCAGCCTGGCCAACATGGTGAAACCCCATCTCTACTAATAATGTAAAACTTAGCCAGGTGTTAGTGCCTGGGACCTGTAGTCCTAGCTACTCGGGAGGCTGAGGCAGGGGAATCACTTGAGCCTGGGAGGCGGAGGTTGCAGTGAGCCAAGGTCACACCAGGGGAAACAAAACCCAGATAGATTGCTGTGACCTGGGAGTATTATATTAATGAAGTTCTATTCATTTATAATGTTACGTCTAAAATATGACATTTAAAGAAGCATTGTGATTATTATCATATGTAAAAGTAAACCACAATATTCTGATGTTTGTCCTTAGCGGTCTCTTTTTTGTTTTTTACAGTAAGAATAGGTTTGAGGACATTCTGAGCTTATTTATGTGTTACAAAAAACTCTCTGACATTCTTAATGAAAAAGCGGGTAAAGCCAAAACTAAAATGGCCAACAAGACAAGTGATAGTCTTTTGTCCATGAAATTTGTGTCCAGTCTTCTCACTGCTCTTTTCAGGTAAGGTTCTGCTAGAGTGCTTAAAGACAGCCACTCCCTGAGGATCGTATACCTACCTAGGCTCACTTGTTTCACCTCGTTTGGATTGTTTACAGTAAGAAATAAGTCAGGAGGTTTTATTTTTCTTGAAATAAAAGCTGGACAATCCTAGGTAGGTACTTTAAGTAGGTACCTTGAATTATTAAAGGACAAATGAGAAACAGTGGGCCAATAAATGAAAAGATAGGGATGAATTCCAGCAGGGTGTTTTAAGAAAATCTATGTAAGTAGCTTGTACAAGATAACAGATATAAAAAGGTAGGGGGTGCCAGGCATGGTGCCTCACTCCTGTAATCCCAGTACTTTGGTAGACTGAGGTGGGTGGATCACCTGAGGTCAAAAGTTCAAGATCAGCCATGACCGATATGGTGCGACCTCATCTCTACTAAAAATACAAAATTAGCCGGGCATGGTGGTGCGCACCTGTAGTCCCGGCTACTTGGGAGGCCGAGGCAGGAGACTCACTTGAACCCAGGAGGCAGAGGTTGCAGTGAGCCGAGATCATGCCATTGCACTCCAGCCTGGGCAACAAGAACAAAATTCTGCCTAAATAAATAAAAAGGTAGGGGGGGTGACTGAATTAAAAATACAAAGGGACAAAAAAAAACCTAAAAGACTAAGACTGACATTTAAATTTTATCAAAGTAAAGGATTTGGGGAGGGAGAGAAAATGAGGAACCACTAAGAATAACGATTATAAAAGGGCAGCCATAGCAGTGACTATAGCTTGGGCTGCCTAGAGAGTCTGCCAGTCGGAACTTACTGGCAAGCTCTGTTGGGTGCTGCTGTTCTGAACAATTTCTAGAAAGCTTAATTCCATATACCAATAGCAGTAAGGGAATCTTCCTTTTTCTTTCTCTCTCTCTGTCTCTCTCTAGGGATAGTATCCAAAGCCACCAAGAAAGCCTTTCTGTTCTCAGGTCCAGCAATGAGTTTATGCGCTATGCAGTGAATGTAGCTCTGCAGAAAGTACAGCAGCTAAAGGAAACAGGGCATGTGAGTGGCCCTGATGGCCAAAACCCAGAAAAGATCTTTCAGAACCTCTGTGACATAACTCGGTAAGCCACTCCCACCCCTTAGAAACTTATTCCACTTGGCTGTGGTGTCTCCAAGAGAACAAACTGGGAACAGAGGATGAAGGTAATTTGAGGTTGGACATATTTTAGGAGTGAAAGAATATAAAACATTAGCCAGGTGGCAGGCACTTGTAATCCCAGCTACTCAGGAAGCTGAGGCAAGAGAATCACTTGAACCAGGAGGTGGAGGTCGCAGTGAGCTGAGTTCATACCACTGCACTCTAGCCTGGGTGACAGGGCAAGACTCTCAAAAGAAAAAAAAAAAAAAAAAAGCCAGACATGGCAGCTCATGCCTGTAATCCCAGCACTTTGGGAGGCTGAGCCGGGTGGATTACCTGAGGTTGGGAGTTCGAGACCAGTCTGACCAACATGGAGAAACCCTATCTCTACTAAAAATACAAAAATTAGCCTGGCATGGTGGCACATGCCTGTCATACCAGCTACTCGGGAGGCTGAGGCAGGAGAATTGCTCGAACCTGGGAGGCGGAGGTTGCAGTGAGCCTAGATTGTGCCATTGCACTCTAGCCTGGGCAACAAGAGCGAAACTCCATCTTAAAAGAGTGAAAAAAAGTGCAGTCATTGACATAGGGTCTTTTTTCTAGTCTTGCCTTCCCCTGGCGCCCCCCCCACCTTTTTTTTTTTGTTGTTGTTGTTGTTTTGGCTTTTTTTTTGGCTTTTTTTGAGAGAGTCTCGCTCTATTGCCCAGGGTGGAATGCCGTGGTGCAATCTCGGCTCACTACAACCCCTTCCTCCGAGGTTCAAGCAGTCCTTCCACTGCAGCTTTCTGAGTAGCTGGGACTACAGGTGCACACCACCATGCCCAACTACTTTTTAATTTTTAATTTTAGTTTATTTTATTTACTACTTTTTTTGGAGACAGGGTCTTGCTCTGTCACCCAGGCTAGAGTGCAGTGGCGTGATCTTGGCTTACTGCAACCTCGGCCTCCCCGGTTCAAGTGATCCTCCTGCCTCAGTCTCCCAAGTAGCTGGGATTACAGGGCACCACCATGCCCTGCTAATTTTTGTATTTTTAGTAGAGACAGGGTTTCACCATGTTGGCCAGGCTGGTCTCGAACTCCTGACCTCAGGTGATCCACCACCCTGGCCTCCCAAAGTGCTGGGTTTACAGGCGTGAGCCACTGCACCTGGCCCTTATTTTTTTTTTTTTAATTTTCTGTAGAGATAGGATTTCACCATATTGCCCAGGCTGGTCTTGAACTCCTGGGCTCAAGCGATACGCCCATCTCAGCCTCCCAAAGTGCTGGGATTACAGGCCTGAGCCACTGTGGCTTTTGTTTTTTCGTTTTTTTTGTTTTGTTTTGTTTTTGTTTTTGTTTTTGTTTTTCCATTTAACCCTGAGTGGACACAGCACATGTTTCAGAGAGCACGGGGTTGCGGGTAAGGTCACAGATCAACAGGATCCCAAGGCAGAAGAATTTTTCTTAGTACAGAACAAAATGAAAAGTCTCCCATGTCTACTTCTTTCTACATAGACATGGCAACCATCCGATTTCTCAATCTTTTCCCCACCTTTCCCCCCTTTCTATTCCACAAAACCGCCATTGTCATCGTGGCCCGTTCTCAATGAGCTGTTGGGTACACCTCCCAGACGGGGTGGTGGCTGGGCAGAGGGGCTCCTCACTTCCCAGTAGGGGCCCCTCACCTCCCAGACGGGGCGGCTGGCCAGGTGGGGGGCTGACCCCCCCACCTCCCTCCCGGACGGGGCGGCTGGCCGGGCAGAGGGGCTCCTCACTTCCCAGTAGGGGCCCCTCACCTCCCGGACGGGGCGGCTGGCCGGGCGGGGGGCTGACCCCCCCACCTCCCTCCCGGACGGGGCGGCTGGCCGGGCGGGGGGCTGACCCCCCCCACCTCCCTCCCGGACGGGGCGGCTGGCCTGGCGGGGGCTGACCCCCACCTCCCTCCTGGACGGGGTGGCTGCCGGGTGGAGACGCTCCTCACTTCCCAGACGGGGTGGCTGCCGGGCGGAGGGGCTCCTCACTTCTCAGACGGGGCGGCTGCCGGGCGGCAGGGCTCCTCACTTCTCAGACGGGGCGGCCGGGCAGAGGTGCTCCTCACATCCCAGACGGGGCGGCGGGGCAGAGGCGCTCCCCACATCTCAGGCGATGGGCGGCCAGGCAGAGACGCTCCTCACTTCCCAGATGGGATGGCGGCCGGGAAGAGGCGCTCCTCACCTCCTAGATGGGATTGCGGCCGGGCAGAGACGCTCCTCACTTCCCAGACGGGGTGGCGGCTGGGCAGAGGCTGCAATCTCGGCACTTTGGGAGGCCAAGGCAGGCGGCTGGGAGGTGGAGGTTGTAGCGAGCCGAGATCACGCCACTGCACTCCAGCCTGGGCACCATTGAGCACTGAGTGAACGAGACTCCGTCTGCAATCCCGGCACCTCGGGAGGCCGAGGCTGGCGGATCACTCGTGGTTAGGAGCTGGAGACCAACCCGGCCAACACAGCGAAACCCCGTCTCCATCAAAAAAATACGAAAACCAGTCAGGTGTGGCGGCAATTGCAGGCACTCGGCAGGCTGAGGCAGGAGAATCAGGCAGGGAGGTTGCAGTGAGCCGAGATGGCAGCAGTACAGTCCAGCTTTGGCTCGGCATCAGAGGGAGACCGTGGAAAGAGAGGGAGAGGGAGACCGTGGGGAGAGGGAGGGGGAGGGGGAGGGGGCTCGTTTGTTTTTTTGTTTTTGTTTTTTTTTCATTTAAAGAGATGGGGTTTGCAGTGTTGCCCAGGCTGGCCTTGAGCTCTTGGGTTCCCAGGGCTTCTAGTCTTGCTTTGATATGGATTGTTAGTCACATATAAAATGTTATGCTATTATTGGGGAAAAAAAGAGGGATATTACATAATGGTTAAGTGATTCAAAATACTTAAAGCAAAAACTGATGGAACTGAAGGAAAAATAGACAAATCCTTAATTAATGTAATCAGCCCTCTCTCCATAGTCAAAAAACAGAAAACAAAACAAAAAAAAACCAGTAGATAGAAAATCTACTGAAAGGAGGTAGAAGAAGTGAACAACACTGTCACCCAGCTTGATTTAATTGACACTTATAAGAACACTCCACAGCACCTTCAAAATACACACTTCTTTTTAGGTGCACATGGTGTATTCACCAAGATGAGCCATATTTTGGGCCATAAAACTCAGCAAATTAAAAAAAAGTAGAAATTCTCTGACCAAACAGAATTAAAGAAGAAAGCAGTAACAGAAAGATATCTAGATAATCCCCATATATTAGAAATTAAATGCATTTTTAAATAGCCCATAGTCAAAAAGTCGTCAGGGAAATTAGAAAACATCTTGAATAGAATGGAAACAAACAGACAACATGTCAAAAGATATGATCCAGCCAAAGTGCTATTGAGGAAATTAAAGCAGTTAGTGATTTAAAAATCTCAGATCTCCCATATAAACTTCCACATTAAGAAAATAGAAAAAGAAGAGCAAATTATAATGAAAGTAATCAGAAGGAAGGAAATAGACAAAAGCACAACTATGAAGAAGCAGAAAATTAAAATAGAAAACATTAAAAGAAAGCTGGTTCTTTGAGAAGATCAATAAATTTAATGAACTTTAGCCAGACTAATCAGGAAAAGAGAAGACACATTACAAATTGCAGAATTGAGGAAGAAGGGACATCACTACTGATCCTACAGATGCTAAAAAATAGATAATAGAATATTAACGATTTTATGCCAGTAAACTTTTAAGTTTAATGGACAGATTTCTTGAAAGCTCACTCAACAAAAAATAGGCAACCTGGCCGGGCGTGGTAGCTCACATCTGTAATCCCAGCACTTTTGGGAGGCCGAAGCAGGTGGATCACCTGAGGTCAGCAGTTCAAGACCAGTCTGGCCAACATGGTGAAACCCCAGCTCTACTAAAAAAAATACAAAAATTAGCTGGGCGTGGTGGTATGCACTTGTAGTCCCAGCTACTCAGGAAGCTGAGGCAGGAAGACCACTTGAATCTGGGAGGTGTGAGTTTGCAGTGAGATCACCCCACTGCACTCCAGCCTGGGTGACAGAGTGAGACTCTGTCTCAAAAAAAAAAAAAAAACCTGAGTAATCTTATCTCTATTCAAAAAAACCTGAGTAATCTTATCTCTATTCAAAGAAATTGAATTTGTGGTTCAAACTTTTTTCACAAAACTTAAGATCTAGGTCTATTCCGTGGTAAATTCATCCAAACATTTAAGGGAGAAGTAATGTAAATTCTGTGCAAATTCTTCCAGGAAATAGGAGAGAACATATTCCACCTCATTTAATTAATGAGGTCAGCATTACCCTGATACCAAACCAGACCCAGACCATTGCAAGAAAACTGCATAGCAATATCCCTGATGAATATAGAGTCTGCTGTGTTAAAGGCAGACTCAGAAGGCTATATACTGAATGATAACCATTTTTGTATGATGTTTCGTAGAAAGTAAAACCATAGGGACAGAAATTAGATCAGTAGTTGCTTGGAAATGGGAGGAGAGAATTGACTATCAGTGAGCACAAGGGAACTTTTAGAGTGATAGAAATACCTTGATTGTGGGGAGATTACACAACCATGTAAGTTTTTTTAAACTTCTAGAACTGTTCACCTACAGGGTAAGAATTTTACTGTTTGTTATTTTATCTCGGTGAACCTGTCTTTAAAAACAATACCACTTTCTCCTGCTTCAGAGTCTTGCTATGGAGATACACTTCAATTCCTACTTCAGTGGAAGAGTCGGGAAAGAAAGAGAAAGGAAAGAGCATCTCACTGCTGTGCTTGGAGGGTTTACAGAAAATATTCAGTGCTGTGCAACAGTTCTATCAGCCCAAGATTCAGCAGTTTCTCAGAGCTCTGGGTAAGCATTGCAGTATCAATAAATAGGCTTGATTTAGGTTTCTCCTTAGCTCAACCCCTTAATTCCATTTGTTAACCTACCAGAAGACACTTGAGAACAGTCCTAATGTTGCTAAGGAGTGACATCTAGTGGATTCAGGATTGGTACCTACTGGATTACATTCAACCACAAAGAGTGGCTGGAAAATGGAATATAGTATTAAGAAATCACAAAATTTTAGAAATTTAAGTCTGCCTTTAGACTTTTTTTTGGCTTTCAAAAATTTTAGCTATTAAAAGGCCAAAAAGTATGAGTTTATATCAAAGAAGACAAGAGTTTCTTTTCCATTCCTAGATGTCACAGATAAGGAAGGAGAAGAGAGAGAAGATGCAGATGTCAGTGTCACTCAGAGAACAGCATTCCAGATCCGGCAATTTCAGGTGAGAAGCCTTGCAAAGCTGCTGTACTGGCCTGAGAGGCTTTGCAAAGGAACTGTTAGCAGGGGCAGCTGGTAAGAATGGGCAGACAGTGACCAAGTAGGAGAAGAATTTTTTCTGGGTCATACAGGCAACAGGACATAGCTCTCAGAATGGAAGATAATGTATTTAAAAGGACCCTAGTGAGGATAGGTATTTAGCCACCCCAACCTGCAATACTCATTACTTCTAAGGACCACTGTTTGAGTTGATGTAAACAGAAAGGAGTCTTCAAGGCATAGAGTCTGTGTTTTTGTTTTCTGAGTCTGTGGTATAATTTGGCTTGGTCTGACAGACAACGTAAACACTGGACAATAAAGTTTGTTAGTTTCTAACCAATAGTTGTCAAAATATCAGGATGTTCTATCACAGGAGTTTTTTATTTAACAAGTAATTCTGAAGTTCCTACCATGTGCCAGAAACAGTTCTAGGTGCTGGGGATGTAGCAGGGAACAAAAGAGACAAAATATTCCTATCCTTATGGAGCTTACATTATAGTAGAAAGACACTGACAAATAATCAAATACATAGTTATTTCAGGTAACAGGGAAGGTATATAAGCATTGCTGGGTTTGGTGCCTTGTCTAAGCCTGAGATCAATGGATAGGCTCCAGGGAGCTGTGAGCCACCAGAAATTGGGTACATAGTTCATTATCTACATTTTGCATGGGGTTGGAACGGAAAGAGTCAGTTTTCAGGAGCATTCTCAGAGAGGTTTATGGTCAAAAACAGCTTAGGAAACTACTGCTCAATTCAGGTGTATTTTCAGATTTTATCCTCTTAGAATTTTGGTAGCTTTGAATTCTTTCTGTCCTAGTCTTAGGAGTCTCTGACTAGATGCCTCTTCTTCCTGATAGGAACGTGTCTGCTAACATTGCTTGCTGTGTGTGCCTTCCTTTCTCAGAGGTCCTTGTTGAATTTACTTAGCAGTCAAGAGGAAGATTTTAATAGCAAAGAAGCCCTCCTGCTAGTCACGGTTCTTACCAGTTTGTCCAAGTTACTGGAGCCCTCCTCTCCTCAGGTACTAGTACCGCTAACTTAATCCCATTTAGCATTCCTCAGAAGGCAAGGATTATTGCATCATAAAAGTGTATATCTAAATGTCCTCTTGAAATTGAGCTTATTTTACATAATGTGTTTAATTATACACCTGAGTTAATATAAGACCTATAAGATGTATTCTTTCCTGTGTAATGCGTCTACCACAGCATACTTACATGCAGCCATACAGGGCAAGAACATACTGCTTTTGTTTTGTTTGTTCAGGGTAGAGTGAAACACCACAGAAAGAATCCTGTGTTGATCTTTGGTGCCTTCAACCTTCTTAAACCTGTGTTCTTTGCCACTCTTGGTGTTTACTTCTTTTCTAAGAAGAAAATTTGTTAATTATGAAGAAGGCAGTTGACATTCAGCAGTTGACTTTCTCAGCACAGTTACCTGGTACTGACTTTGGAGGAAATTCAACCAAAGATGATTAATTCAGAAAGTGTAACTATAGTCCCAAAGCAGAAACACCTCTGCAGAGATAGGTTGTATGTATGTTTGTGTAAGTGTGCACACGTAGATGTAGAGCTGTGTACCCACATGAGCGTTCACACACAGAAGAATAAGAGAAGGACCACTTGTTGGGGGTCTGTACCATTCAGGAGTAATTTTCCTGTAGGATGATAGAGTACCTTCAGGAGCCCAGGACTGTGTGCTCCTACCACATCTACTTCCTGGGCTTGAGAAAGACAATGAAGCCCTGCGGTATACTCCTCTTTATGTGAGCCCTTGCCTCAGAAGACTGTAGCCTGGGAGTATGAAGGCGTTTGGGCACTAGAAAGCAGAGCTGCTTCCTGTCGTCCTACTTCCAGGTTTGCCCAAAGAAAGTCCCTTTGGTTACTTCATCCCAGTTCCAAACAGCTCACCCCCACTTTGCTCTCATCATCGTTCTTTCATACTGCTGTTTTTGCTGCAAAGAGGAAAGGACTGAGAAAGAAATAGCTAATTGGGGCAGGGGGAAATTTGAGAGAAAATAAATGGATTTAGGAAGGCTAAAATGTTCAGGAAAATTTAAAAATTTTTCTTTTTTAAACTTTTAAACTTTTAGATTTTTAAACGTTTTACCACCTACCCCTTCTCCCTTAACTTCAGGTAGTCTCTTTAAAAAAAAATTTTTTTTTTTTTTGAGACAGAGTCTCGCTCTGTCTCCCAGGCTGGAGTGTAGTGGCGCCATCTCAGCTCACTGCAGGCGCCGCCTTCCGGGTTCACGCCATTCTCCTGCCTCAGCCTCCCAAGTAGCTGGGACTACAGGCGCCTGCCACAACACCCGGCTAATTTTTTGTATTTTTAATAGAGACGGGGTTTCACCGTGTTAGCCAGGATGATCTCGATCTCCTGACCTCGTGATTCACCCGCCTCGGCCTCCCAAAGTGCTGGGATTACAGGTGTGAGCCACCGCGCCTGGCCAAAAATTTTTAATTTTAATTTTGAATGGGTAATAAAGTCCTATGATTTGAAAACCAGAGATTATCAAGAGATTTATGGTAAATGGTGTCCCCCACCCATGTCCTCCATCTGTTCAGTTCCTCCTCTCCCCAAATAAGTAAACACCTTTAGTTTTTTGTGTCCTTCAACCTTCTTTATTCCCTTCCAAGTAAATATAGAGTTTTATTCCCAATCCTACCCCTCTTCACACAAAAACTTGTTCTGCATCCTGCTTATTTCATTGAGCACGGTATTCTGAAGATCTTTTAATATCAGTTTGTAGAGAGCTTTCAGTTAGCCTCTTAATTTACCTTTTCCTCAACAGATCAAAACTGCATTTTTGTTAGTCATTTACACTTAAGTATAACGGCATTTCGGTGCCTTTGTAGCTGAAAGAACTGCTGAAGCAGAAAGTTGACTGTGTGTCTGGTGATGCAGATGCTTGCTATCTGAAGACCTTAAGTCTCCTTCACTTAGCTAAGAAAATGCTGTCTGGTTTCTTGCCTCTTTTATTTCTCTTTTTTCTGCCCTTCTCTCTTCTAACCTCCTTTGTTCTTTTGGCTTCTAAATGCTAATTCTACTGTTCTTATAGCTAGGTTTTCTCTTTCCCACACCTTTCTGATAACCTAATATCCTCAAGTGGAGAGTCTGGGGGCATGGGAAAGAAAAGAGGGCGCTTTAGCCCTAGACCACTATGGTAGAAGCAGAGGAAGTTCAGGTGTAAGGACCCTAAAACTTTTGGACCTCAGTAAGGACATAGACATTGAGAATTAAATTATATATTATTCTCATAATTCTTAGAATTTTGGACTTATTTTTATGCCCTTCATCATATATTACCACTTGAGATCTAAGGACATGTTTTGGCAGCTGATTTGCTTAGATATGGAAAGGTCTAGAACTCTTCTGTTCTGACAACACCTAGGTCTATCTCTGGCATGTTTCTTTAATATCTGAATGATCTCTAATTTAGTTTGTGCAGATGTTATCCTGGACATCAAAGATTTGCAAGGAAAACAGCCGGGGTAAGTTTACTGCCATGTTTTCCTAAAGGCTTTATATAAAATCACTATCCTCCAGTGGCATTTGGAAAAGAAAAGGTATTCCCCATTCATTACACATTCACCAGAGTGGCCAAAATGAAACAGACACCTAATACCAAGTCGAATTGTTGGCAAGAATGTAGAGTAGTTGGACCTTTCATTCACTGGGGGTGGAGGTAGAAATTGGTATAACCACTATGGAAAACTGTTCAGCAATATCTACTAAAATTAAACATATGCCTATGACTCAACAATTCGAATCACAACAGAAAAATGTGGAAGAATTCTCTTAGCAGCACTATTTTAGTAGGTAAAACAAACCTAAGTGTTCATCAGCAGTAGAAAGGATAAAAGAATTATGATATATTCACACAGTGGAATCCTATACAGCAAATAAGCATGAACAAACTACATGTACACACAACTTGGAGAGGATCTCACAAATGTACTGTAAAACAAAAGAAGCCAGACACAAGAAAGGGTACTTACTGTAGAATTCCGTTTAGATGAAGTTCAAAATTAGACAAAATTTATCTGTGATGTTAGAAGTCAGGATAGCAGTTTCCTTGGCGGGGCAAGTTAGGAGGGAGTCCCTAGAATACTCGTAATGTACTTGATCTGGATGCTAGTTACACAGTAATCTTAACTAATGATGGGAAATGTCTGCCTTCTTTGGGCATGTGGATAAAGAGGCATCATTGCAGACTAGCTGCTTGGCTGTAGTATGTGTAACACTGGGATGTTGTGCCTGAGACACGACAAGCTACCTCCTGTTCTGGTTAGGCACTCCACCCCACACACCCTGTACACATACCTGAGGGACCTGACTGGGTTATAACTTAACTTTTTTTTTTTTTTTTGAGACAGAGTTTCACTCTTGTTGCCCAGGCAGGAATGCAATGGCACGGTCTTGGCTGACCGCAGCCTCCGCCTCCTGGGTTCAAGCAATTCTCGTGCCTCAGCCTCCCAAGTAGCTGGGATTACAGGCATGCGCCACCATGCCCGGCTAATTTTATATTTTTAGTAGAGACGGGGTTTCTCCATGTTGGTGAGGCTGGTCTTGAATTCCTGACCTCAGGTGATCCACCCGCCTTGGCCTCCCAAAGTGCTGGGATTACAGGCGTGAGCCACTGCACTTGGCCACAACTTACCTTTTAATTTGCTTTTCTTCCTATTCCTAGAGGATGCCTTGTTTTGCAAGAGCTTGATGAACTTGCTCTTCAGCCTGCATGTTTCGTATAAGAGTCCTGTCATTCTGCTGCGTGACTTGTCCCAGGATATCCACGGGCATCTGGGAGATATAGACCAGGTACTATAATGAGCCTTCAGTACAATACCCTGTGTGGGGATGGGGGTCAAGGGAACAACCTTACTGTCATTAGGTCTCACCTCTCTTCTTTTCCCCAGGATGTAGAGGTGGAGAAAACAAACCACTTTGCAATAGTGAATTTGAGAACGGCTGCCCCCACTGTCTGTGTAAGTGTTGTACCTGAGCCATGGGGAATAGCTTTGTCATTCTTTCCATTCTACTCCATGTGAAGTGACTTGTGTCCTATAGCGGCTTGTGTCCTGAGGCCTGTAACCCACCTGTAGGTGGCCAGGTGACCACAGTTATTATATTACCCCCACAGCTGTGTGTAGTGAATCACACCAGGCACTCTTTTCTTTCAGTTACTTGTTCTGAGTCAGGCCGAGAAGGTTCTAGAAGAAGTGGACTGGCTAATCACCAAGCTTAAGGGACAAGTGAGCCAAGAAACCTTATCAGGTAAGATAAGTTCAACTGGGATTCCAGGAATTGACATGAGCAAGGTCAAAATTCATATTGGGTCGGTGCATAAAAATGGAGCCCCTGAGCTAAATTTCTTATTTGCCTTTAAGCTAGATTTTTTCCTATGTGATGAAAGAAGTAGAAGATCATATGTCTTATCACAGCACGATTAATTCACTCTGCATATTGAATGTTCGTTTTTCCATAAAGACTTTCTAGTTAGTAGTAATCAATTTCTAAATCTCCTTTACTCTTAATTAGAAAACGAAGTTGGGTTTGAATGTGCCAATTTTATTTCCCTTTAGAAGAGGCCTCTTCTCAGGCAACCCTACCAAATCAGCCTGTTGAGAAAGCTATCATCATGCAACTGGGAACTCTGCTTACATTTTTCCACGAGCTGGTGCAGACAGCTCTGCCATCAGGCAGCTGTGTGGACACCTTGTTAAAGGACTTGTGCAAAATGTACACCACACTTACAGCCCTTGTCAGATATGTGAGTATTTGAGACAAGCAGATTCGCCCCACCATTCTACCCCAGTGAGCCAGGAGATGAGGATGGGGCAGCAGCCCACTGCTGCAGAATGCCCCTAAACAAGAGAGCATTTGCCTCCATCTTGGCAGGTCATGGTTTCATTTTAGTTTGGTCAGTAGGTGGCAGGCATCTCCACAGGCCAGGGAAAAACAGTTTATAATTCTAATCTGCTTTTGGGCCTGTCACGGTGGTTCATGCCTGTAATCCCAGCACTTTGGTAGGCTGAGACGGGCGGATCACCTGAGGTCAGGAGTTCGAGACCAGCCTGGCCAACATGGTGAAACCCCGTCTCTACTAAAAATACAAAAAGTAGCTGGGCGTGGTGGTGGGCACCTGTAATCCCAGCTACTCAGGAGGCTGAGGCAGGAGAATCGCTTGAACCCAGGAGGCGGAGGTTGCAGTGAGCTGAGATTGTGCCACTGTACTCCAGCGTTGGCAATAGAGTGAGACTCCATCTCAAAAATTAAAAAAATAAAGTAAAAATCTGCTTTTGGAGGCCCTTAATTCTTTGGCATGTATGTGGCACCTGATTGAGAATGAATGCCTCTTTTAAATACCTTCTAAGGTTTAATCTAAACTATAACTATCCTAGAATTAAATCTGGGCCCATAATGCATAGAAATTATACCATTTCTAACCAGTCTGGACACTTAAAGAGATGTTTATTCCTTTTTTCATTCCTTTAACATGTAGGTGTTAAATGCCTTATAGATCAAATACTAAGGTGGGGAAGAAAATTATTTTTTATAAAAATACAAGGCATACCCTGCCCTTACTGTTTATGTTCCTAGCAATGATCCATATTAAATACTTAGAAAGGCACAGATAATCCAAGAAAGATGTGGACCACCCCGCATCACAGCAGTGTGGCTCTCTCAGAATGTGTAGCTCTAGCTACATGTGGCTAAGCTGCTGTAGTGGAAATACTGAGAGCCTCTTCTCTTTATTGGCATCTTTAAAAGGAAAAACAGCAAAGTTGTTGGTTTTTTACATGCAGGGACTACCAGCCTGAGGAATTTTTAAAGAAATGAGCAAATCAGAAACAAACCCTTCATTACTTATTGTCTGGGAAGCTTAGGAGCTTTGGAGGAGAGGAATAAGGAAGCTTGTGTCTTGGCTTCTCTGTGAATTTTGTTTTTCCTCTTCAGTCAGAATGATGAGTCACACTCCATAGGCTCACTGCAGCAGTCACTTGTAGTTTCATAGGACAGTCTACTAAATCTAGGAATCTTTTTTTATTAGTATCTCCAGGTGTGTCAGAGCTCCGGAGGAATTCCAAAAAATATGGAAAAGCTGGTGAGTTGAGAATGCCTTTCCTAGGAATGGGGGAAGCACTTTTACTGCTGGTTACATTGGTTTCCTTCTCCCTTGTTGTGCAGGTGAAGCTGTCTGGTTCTCATCTGACCCCCCTGTGTTATTCTTTCATTTCTTACGTACAGGTAAGAGATTCAGAGGCAGTACCCAATAGGTCTTCAAGAAAGGATTTCTTACATGCCCAGGGGACTATTGATCACCTGAACTGAGCATATATAAACTTTTTTCCCTGCTTACCACAAGCTGGAGGCACCCATCAGAGACCAAGCCAAGGCTTGAGGGCTTTGCAGCAAGGACATCTTTATGTAAAGAAAACTGTTTCACTTAATTTGGAGAAAGGAAGCATATATGTTTGCATTTGGAGCAAGGAAGGAACAAGCATGCTCAGGCTCAAGGACTTGGTTTATTCCTGGGTGACTGAAAGTCCATGCCATGAGGCATCCTCTGGGAATGTGAGCAGAGTAGCAGCAAGCACATGAAGAAGGGTTGTGATGAGACGGCAGTGCAGTGAGGGCACTTTCAGGGAAGTGGAAGGACGTGGCTTTGTAAGTGTCATTTGGTCCTAAATACCATCAGATTCCTGCAGTACTTGAATCTCCTTTACTGTTTGCTTAAACCAGTTTTTTAACCTCACCACTATTGACATGTTGCGCTAGATAATTCTTTGTTGTGGGACCTGTTCTGTGCATTTTGGGATGTTGAGTAGCATCCCTGGCCTCCACCTACCAGATGCCAGTAGCAGCCCCCTAGTTTTAACAGCCAAAAATGTCTCCAGAAATTGCCAGTTGTCCTTAAGGGACAGAATCACCCCTCGTTGGAAAGAGGAAGAAACGAGAGATCTACTGTCTCCTAAGGCCACTTAGTCATGCAGTAAATGTATCACAGGGCTGTTACTGATCTTTGAGGAATCAAAGAGAATGGGTCCACTAAGTGTCAATCTCAGCCAAGATTCTAGAACCAATTATTAAAGCAATGGATCGTGACCACTTTGGTAGTGATGCTTCACTTGTTTTCTGCCTCTGCATCACTTACAGGCACAATATCATTCTATCAGTAACTTGCCTCATTATGTGTATTCAGGGTGCCTCTTCCCCTCCCTTTAAGAATCAGCAATCAGCTGGGCACAGTGGCTCATGCCTGTAATTGCAGCACTTTGGGAGGCCGAGGCGGGTGGATCACCTGAGGTCAGGACTTCAAGACCAGCCTGGCCAACATGGTGAAACCCCATCTCTACAAAAAATACAAAAAATTAGCTGAGCATGCTGGCGGGCACCTGTAATCCCAGCTACTTGGGAGGCTGAGGCAGGAGAATCGCCTGAACCTGGAGGGCGGAGGTTGCAGTGAGCAAAGATCGCACTGTTGTGCTCCAGCCTAGCAACAAGAGCGAAACTCCGTCTCAAAAAAAAAAAAAATAAAGAATCAGCCATCAAGTGGGCTGTCATCTGGGTTTAGCTGAAGGAGTTCTTAGTAATGGGCTGATAGTTGAGACTCTCTGTCACCTTGCCTTTGTATCAGTTTTGTGATCTGGGTCAGGAATGCATCATCCATTTTCTATATCCAGCCATCCAGCCAGTAGTCAACTGTCATAAAGCTATTACTTCTGGTCCTCTCCTTTTATCTCACCCAAATGCTTGCAGGAATGCTTTCTCAAACCTCATGCTTGTAAATTTTCATGTGGGTGCCATTCGTCAAACAAATCTGTTGTCTATATATAGGATATATATCTGTCCATTCCCATATTTGGGTTTTGAGTTTCCTCATCTCCAAGTCTTAATGATACCTATAAAGACACATTTCACAAAATATGCTATATAGACTGAGACAGTCCTCAAAAAAAAAAGGAATTCAGGGAGAGATGCTCATACCGTATATCTCTCACCTTAGAGATTCGTGGTGTCCATTTGCATATTAAAGGTGCTGAGACCAGTCATGGTGGTTAATGGAGGCTGAGGTAAGAAGATCACTTGAGGCCAGGAGTTCAAGACCAGCCTGGGCAACATAGTGAGACCCCGTCTCTACAAAAAATTTAAAATTTAAGCCAGGTGTTTGCCTATAGTCCCAGTTACTTGGGAGGCTGAGGCAGGAAGATCACTTGAGCCTAGGACTTGAAGGCTGCAGTGAGCCATGATCATGCCACTGTACTCCAAGGCAACAGCGTGAGACCCTGTCTCAAGAAAAATAAAAACAGTGCTGAGAGTTCCAACAGTATGTTCATTAGTAGTTTTCAGACCTATTCAAGAACATTTTTAAAAAAATAACAAATGTTACTATTTGGCAGAATAATGTTCCATAGAGTACAGTTTGGGAAATACTGCTGTTAAATGCTATTTACTACCCTTGTTATGATTCAAAAGTCACATTGTCTAATAATTTTATTAGAACAGGTAATGCTTAGAGAACCTCTACCTTGTGTCTGATGTGTTAAGCTCTTTTCATACATCATCTCATTCATCCTAGCTATAGGTTATGATTAGTAGTTATCCCCATATGCATGATGAGAAAGGTTAATCAGAATGCCCAAGAACAGACCATGAGTAAAAGGCAGATCTGAGACTTGAACCCAGCTAGTTAGACTCGATAGCAGGAATTGGCACACTTTTTCTGTAAAGGGCCAGATAGTAAATGTGGGTCATACAGTCTCTATCACACCTACTCAACTCTACTATTAGAACATAAAAGCAGCCATAGATAACTTACAAATAAACGAGCATGGCTATGTTCCAATGAAATTTTCTTATCAAAAACAGGCAGTGGGCCAGATTTATACTATGGGCTATAGTCAGTCAACCATTGCTCTAGAGTCATACCTGGTACTTGTTGACATGTAAAATGTTGGAAGGTTTTGATTTTCGTGTTTCTGACCCCATTTTCAAGCATTTTCTTCTGGGAATCACTACTACTTCCTAGACTGCTATTATTTTCCCCTCATTACACAGTAATCAGTTTCATTTCCTCCCTAGGCATTTTCCTCCTCCTCCATCCATATTTGACTTAAAGCCTTACTGACAAGTCAGCTGATCTGCAGGCAAACATTTTACATTTTTCTGTTTTTGTGAGATGTATTTAATGAGTGCCCCCTGGGCAAGAGCCCATGCATGGTTCCATTAACTCCAGCTCTTAACTAGAAATGGGGATTGCATTTTCCACACCTCTCAGTGAACTGTTAATTCTCTTGTAGCCCCCTCTTCATTTCCCCAGTTCCTTAGATCTCAATGGGAAGAAAGCAACGAAAACCATTGCTGCAACTCTTAGCATCCTGCCCAGAACTGTATACCTTTAAAAGATGCTTCTCAAGGGTCGGACATGGTGGCTCATGCCTGTAATCCCAGCACTTTGGGAGGCCGAGGTGGGAGAATCACAAGGTCTGGAGTTTGAGACCAGCCTGGCCAACATGGTGAAATCCCGTCTCAACTAAAGATACAAAAAATAGCAGGGCACGGTGGCTCACACCTGTAATCTCAGCATTTTGGGAGGCTGAGGCAGGCGGATCACAAGGTCAGGAGTTCGAAACTAGCCCGGCCAACATGGTGAAACCCCATTTCTACTAAAAAAAATACAAAAATTAGCTGGGCATGGTGGCAGGCGCCTGTAATCCCAGCTACTCGGGAGGCTGAGGCAGGAGAATTGCTTGAACCCGGGAGGTGGAGGTTGCAGTGAGATGAGATCACACCACTGCACTCCAGCCTGGGCAACAGAGCATGACTCTGTCTCAAAAAAAAAAATTAGCCGGGCATGGTAGTGCGTGCCTGTAATCCCAGCTACTCGGGAAGCTGAGGCAGGAGAATCGCTTGAACCTGGGAGGCAGAGGTTGCAGTGAGCTGAGATCGCACCATTGTACTCCAGCCTGGGCGACAGAGTGAAACTCCACCTCAAAAAAAGATGCTTCTCTTCTGGCTCTAATTTTAGTCCTGCCCGCCCGGATCAGTTGGAATGGGCAGGGAACAGGGTTGATCTAAGGAGTTCCAACAGGGCCCCATCTTGGACACAACCTCTGGGAAGATGGTTCACTTCCCACTTGGTCAGTGAGGTCGATCCGTGACTGCTTCCTTGCCCTCTTCTGCTGCCTTCACCCTCTTCCATGCTCTACCCTGCCTTCCAGGGCCAAAAACAGATTACTGCATACCAGCCCCTCTGGAATGTCTGCAGTTCCTTATTTTCCAGAACGTGGCATGTGGAACAAGTCTCCTGTTTCTCTCATGGCTCCAGTTGCAGAGCCTCTCTGTATTTTCAGGTCTGTTTCTTTATTCTGTTGCCCTCGTGGAGCATGGTATGTTCCCTTCCTAAGAAGGTTTAGAACTCCCCTTGAGGTAAAAAGCTGCCTACATTTCTGTACCGTACCTTACATTTGGGTGGTTTTTCTCCCCAGTCTCTCCTGACTCAAGTCTTGATTTTCTTTTGCTTTATCAGAATCTTACACTTTTTGGTTCCTTTTATTAGTTATTCATCCCTCTCCAGGAGCTCTTTATTACCCAATAATTTACAACACAGGGAAGTGTTCTGTGACCCTTTTAACCCTTCTTGAGCATGATAACCCATTGCACATAAAATATATCTGGTTTTGGCTTTGCTGAGTAACGAAAATAAAATATATCTGGTGATTGCCTGTAAGTGGGAAGACTGCAGGGCCCTGCAGCAGCCTCCTCAGCTTCCTCTCCTTTATGGGATCCTTCTAGCCCACTGGCTAAAATAGAAATAGAAATGAATATTCCTGCTACCACCTTGACAGTCCCCATTTTAACCATTCTTTAGTACCTCACCAGCCCCTTGGCTGACCCACTGCAGTAATAGTCCTGCCTTCAACTTCCATGTGCCAGCTCTAAGAACAACAGATTGTAAACCTCTCAACAACTAAAAAAGAAAAAATATCTGAGGATTACAAAGCATCCATTTTTTCCCTATCTTCTAACATCTGTTGCACAGATAGTCCTGTTTACTCCAGACTTGGTCCTCATACCCTGTGTAATTACCTTCTAAGAAAATTGCCACTAGTTGGTGGGCATGGTGGCTTAGGCCTGTAATCCCAGCACTTTGGGAGGCTGAGGCCGGCAGATCACCTGAGGCCAGGAGTTCGAGACCAGCCTGGCCAACATGGCAAAACACCGTCTCTACTAAAAATACAAAAATTAGCTGAGTGTGGTGGCACGTGCCTGTAGTCCCAGCTACTCGGGAGGCTGAGGCACAAGAATCACTTAACTCGGGGCGCAGAGGTTACAGTGGGTCGACATCACGCCACTGCACACCAGCCTGGGTGACAGCAAAGCTCTGTCTTAAAAAAAAAAAAAAAAAAATTAGCACTAGCATGCTAGCTCCACAGAAAAATCATCAGGAATAAGAGAATGTGTTTCTATTTCTTTAGAATAAGAGTAAGAGCCTGAACTATACGGGAGAGAAAAAGGAGAAACCTGCTGCCGTTGCCACAGCCATGGTAAGCTGCTGACACTGACCGTTAAAATATGCTTGTTGGTGAACCCGAAAACATGAAGCGGAAGAAGCCAGTGACAAAAAGACCACGTGTTGTATGATTCCATTTTCATGAAGTGCCCAGAATAAATCATCTAAAAAGGCAAACTAGATTAGTGGTAGCGTAGAGCTAGGTGGGTTGGAAGATGGGGAGACTGGGGTGACAGCTAAAAACGGTATGGAATTTCTTTTGGGGGTGATGAAAATGTTTTAGAATTGACTGTGATGATGGTTGCACAACTCTGCAAATACTGAAAAAAAAGTACATTGTGAGTGAATTGTATGGTATATGAATTACAGCTCTATCAAGCTGTTAGAAAAAATTGTGTGTATTATATACATGGCTGCTTCTCAACTCAGGGATTTTATGATCAGATGGAGCATCTTATTTTTCCTCTGAACCAAAAACATGTTTTATTCACGAAGCACCAGAAAATCTTGAGTTGAAATGGAAATAGTAAAATAACTTACGATACTCAATTGGGAGAAATTATTTTTAGGTAAAGTTGGTGAATGCAAAAGGTGCTCCCTAAAAGATGTGTAAGAGTCAGCGGGGGTACAGGAAAGGAGGCACTTAGTACATTGCTGGCAAAGGTGAAAATTAGTACAGCCTCTCCAGAGGCTTAGCAATGACTACTGAATCCCATTCTGATGTAGCAGTTTCACTTTTAGGATATACAGGCCTGTGTACAGGATGGTCCTCACAACATTATTTATAAAAGTGAAATATTAGAAACAAAGATATCCATTAATAGAGGACTGGCTAAATAGGTTATAATATATTTATACTGGAGAGATATGAAAAAAATAAACATCTAAATGTTCAGCTCTCTGGAATTATCTCCAAGATAATGTTAAAAAAAATTTGTACAGTATCCTCATGGGTTAAAAATACACACACACACACACACACACACACGTAGGACCTACAAATTACAATTCACGTTAGGGGGAAAGATATATAATCACACACACACACACACACACACACACACAAATGTAGGACCTACAAATTACAGTTCACGTTAGGGGGAAAGATATATAATCACAGACACACACACACACACACAAATGTAGGACCTACAAATTACAATTCACGTTAGGAGGAAAGACACACACACAAAAACGTAGGACCACACACAAAAATGTAGGACCTTTCGTTAGGGGGAAAGACACACACACACACACGTAGAACCTACAAATTACAATTCACGTTAGGGGGAAAGATATATAATCCCAGCAGTGAAAATTCATACCCAGACCAGAACAAGGAAATAGAGCTAGGGCCAAAATAGGCTTAAGAATTTCAAGTCAGAAAAGCAACTAAATTTCTACAAGTGATCCTGCCCTCCTCAGCCATTTTCTAGATAACAACAAATACTGGAATTATAAATGAAATGGATCAGTGCAATTATCTCTACTGGCATTTGGGTCCTTCCAGATTGAACTGCCAAAAATTTTAGATTACTGGTATACAACTGCATTTGATTGGGAGACAGACTAGTTTTCCCCTAAAGCCATACAGTTTTGTAAGTGACAGCTTCAGAGGAAAACTTCAAAAACCATTGAACCTGAAATTTAAGTCTTATGTTCTTTGCCCTTAGGCCAGAGTTCTTCGGGAAACCAAGCCAATCCCTAACCTCATCTTTGCCATAGAACAGTATGAAAAATTTCTCATCCACCTTTCTAAGAAGTCCAAGGTAAACATTCTCTTATTATGTGCTACCATTCCCATTTACCTTCTTGACAGATCTGGCAAACTGAAGCAGCACAACTACAATGGAGGAAAAGAGACTCTGGGCCATTTGTGTGTTTGCCATCCCCCCTCTCCCCCCCCCCCCCTTTTTTTTTTTGAGACTGTGTCTCATTCTGTCACCCAGGCTGGAGTGCACATTCAAGTGATCCTCTGGCCTCAGCCTCCAGAGTAGCTGGGACTACAGTCATATGCCATCATACCCCACTAGTTTTTTGGGTTTGTTTTTGTAGAGATGGGGTCTCACTATGCTGCCCAGGCTGGTCTCAAACTCCTGGCCTGAAGTGATCCTTCCACCTTGGCCTCCCAAAGTGCTGGGATTACAGGCATGAGCCACCACACTCAGCCTCTTTGCTGTTCTTGATCTGATGACCTGAACCCCAGCATACAGAAGGAAGTGGGTGCGTGCTTGCTTTAGGTAGAAATGGAAAGGTTTCTCAGAGGTGAACTAAAAATGGCTTAAGCTGTTCTGGCAGGACCTATGAGTAGGGAGATGTCCCATGCTTACAATCTTGTCATAGGTGAACCTGATGCAGCACATGAAGCTCAGCACCTCACGAGACTTCAAGATCAAAGGAAACATCCTAGACATGGTTCTTCGAGAGGATGGTGAAGATGAAAATGAAGAGGTCAGTGCTGGCTTCTGTCTGGAGCCCAGCCACTCTTCCTAGCTGGTTAGCAGCCTATCTGGGAGCAGTCACAGATTAGTGGAAGGGCAACAGAATGGGAAAGGGCTAAAAGGTGATCAGGCAAAGATGAGAGCAAAGGACTCTCAGAAGGGTTGTAAACTTTGGACCACACAAAATCCTATGAAGTTGCCCCGACTTGTTTGATAAACACTTCCAGGAAGCAGGTGGTAACAAAACAATGTCCTGCTGTGGGTCCTCTTCCTGTTAATCTTTTAAACTACTGGATGATGACCAGCTATAGCAGTCTGGCTCAGAAACTAGTTTACCTCTCATGTCATGCCCTCATTCAAAGGCCACTCATTAGTTTGGGTTAAGGCTTCTTCCTTCAATTCATGCCAATGTCTTGTCCTTTTCCCTTGTGGTTTGTTCCTCTCCCTTTACTCTTAGCAAGTGACAGTACCGCATCCCCATCCCTGCACCACCTTTGAAACAGAACCCAATGTTTCCTTACTTCTAGCACCTAAAATTTTCATCTTAGGTTTGTCTAATAAGTAGCAAATCAGTAGCCCACTCCCATTTCAAAACTGGAAGTTTACATACAAGTGCCCTGGATTTCAGAATTTTGAACATGCATTCTTCAGATGATCACACTCCAGGCTCTAATGTACCTGGCCCCATCCACTCTCTTTACCCACTTGGCAGCTGCACTCAGGAGAGTCATGTAGCATTTTGATGTCAATGGCTTCTTCTCTTGTCATTTTGTCCCATAAGTATCCTCAGTATAGCAAAAGTCCTAAAAGGAGGTGCCACTGTCTTATTACTCTACACTTTGGAGGACTCCTTCCTCTTCTTCAACAACATAATTACCTCCTGTGAGTGGGAAAGTGGGGAAAGCATGACTAACAAAGGCTTTGATGAGAAGATAGAGTCTTTTTTTTCCTTCTTTTTATTTCCACTGCCTTGGAGCAGGTTTATCACGTTAGAGCATTAATTCTTTCCCCTTCTAGGGCACTGCATCAGAGCATGGGGGACAGAACAAAGAACCAGCCAAGAAGAAAAGGAAAAAATAAATGAAATGCCTGAGTTAATGTGAACTTTGGGGCTTCTGCTTCATTTTTACCCAACAAGCAACAATGCCCCTTGTCCTGTAGTCCACACCGATGTTGGCATCTTGGTTCTGAACCCACTGAATTCAACTGCACCTTCAGTTAGAAGGAATCTTCTTGGCAGGTCCTGCTACTGAAAAATGGCTGGCCTTAGGCAAGCCCTTTTGCAAAAAGCACAGCTGAAAGCCTGAGTTTGGGAGCCTGCACCACCCCGATGAAGCTCCACGGGAGCAAATACAGAGCCTCCAGGCAGTGCTATGGTCCAGGCTGGCTTCGTTTTTCCAAGGAGCCTTTGGTGAGTTCAATTATCTGGTAAATATCCAGCGCTTCACCTGAAAGATAGTGCAAATTGGTTAGGATGCCACCTCAAGAACTGTAACTGAGAGCTCAGAAGTGAGCAAAGGAGCTTAATGCTAAGGTCAAAAGGAGAGTGAAAGGTTGAGAACAATTGCCACGAACGGTAATGTTACATGTTAGGAGGGTCTGTTTTCTTTTTATATAAGTGTGTCTTAGATATATTTTAAATAGAAAATAAGCTTTCTGATTTACTTGTTTGGTATTTAAAGCACAGTTTGTTTTTCTGTCACCTATAGAGTGCAAGAATGCACTCTATAGAATAAATTATCTTTAAACATTTCTTCTGTGGTTGAAGTAGGGGACAGGTACAGGTAGAATATTTGAAGCTCTGCTGCCTTCATTTCTGAAACATCATATCACATTCACTCTGGACACAGGGCACCTTATAAACTGAAATTAGCCTAGAATATAGCCTGAGTCAAGAGTGGATTCTCTGGGGCCCCAAGTTTCCTGTTCTCCAAGACCCACTTTCTAGTCCACCTCAGATCCTATGTGTAATGAGGAACAAATGTGTTGTGCTCACCCTGGGGAATCCCGTATCTCCTTTCCATCCCAGTTGGGTTGGAAGGGGTTTTACAATCCATGGTCACTTCCTTCCTGAGGCACCGGTCAATATCGACTGCACTGAAAAAGGCGACTGACTGGGGCAAGTCATTCAGACCCAGCTTGTAGGCAAACATGCACCTGAAAGAGACCCAATCTACTCTCACAGTCATGCCCCTCCTGTGAACAGATGCATCACTCCTGGAGCAATGACCCCACACCCCTTAGAGCAGGGCTTCCCCTGGACCAACACCCCATCTGTTCACTTAGCTAAGTCAAGAAAGGTGAAGGTCCAGCACTGTTTTCCATCCAGCAGCCTAACCTCCCACTGAGATACTGAAATGCAATTATGGACTCAACATACTTTTTTTTTTTTTCCCAGTTTGGTACACTTTATTAATTAATATACGAAATCACTTCCAATTGGGCCAGAGTTTGAAGCATAAATGAGGACTTTTAGCTTTGTTAAGCATAACCTCCCGGAGATGATGATTAAGAGGGCAATGGGAACAATGTTGAATATTGTAAACATCTGTTATTTACCCAATAATCAGGATAGATCATGGTTCCCAAACTGGTTCTGAGTGGCAGATCAACATGGAACGGTAATATTTAATTCATCCATATGAACTAGGAATTTTACTACAAGAAAATACAACTCAATATATAAAATATATAAGATATTTTTAAAAATCACATTTGAGTGTCCCCATTAACAGTGTTTTCTGTTAGCAGTCAAATAACAAACTTTTGGCACTTACTTAAGAAAGAAAACATTTATGGGAGAAAGAAAAACAAACATCTCAATTTTCTATGAAATGAGAAAAGGCTTCTGTCATTTGATTTTCCAAATAGAAAAGCGTGAGTACCACCCTTCGGAACAATTCCCCTAACCTCACTGCTTCCCTCAATGATCAGTCTTGGTATTTCACATTTTCAAACCCAATAACTCTTTTTTTACGAATTGAGGCTAGTCTTTTTAGGACTTCTACAACTTTTTAAAAATTAGAAATAAATAAATAAGCTGAAACATTCACTTCTAGGGGGATGAAAAGTCAAAACTGACCAGTCTGGCCCAAGGAACGCTCACCCAAAGCCCCACATAGGAGCACATGGCCAGGCTAGAGGCCATGGGCCCCGCATACCTGGTCAAGAGGTTGGTGATCTGCAAGGCCAGGGCAGCGCGGTAGCGGTCCTCCTCCCGCACCAGGTAGCGAACCTCGTCATGGATGCTGATGCAGAAGCGCCCATCTATGGCAAACTCTTCAAACAGCCACTTCATGGCCACAAGCATGAGGTGTAAGTAGTCAACAGCAGAGCTCTGTACCACCCAATTCACACGGCTGGTCATAAACTGGGAAGGGAAGGTGGGCAGAGGTGAAAGGGGCTATGCTACATACCAATTAACTCCAGGGTAGAAGCCCCAAGAGAAGCTTCACTCTGGCCCTACCTACAAACATTGGTAAGGTCCACAGGGAGCTCTGCCCTGCCCTCCCTGGGGCCCCTCTGCCCATGCTCCAAAGGTAGCAAGATACCTCTTCCTGGACAGCCGAGGGCTCCAGGGCTCGGCTGATGCAGCAGCCCAGCACCGGGGTACGTGGTATGTCAGACGTAGCAATGCTCTCAAGCTTATTGAACATTTCTGACTCTGTGCCCCCCTTCCATGCCCGTTCAGCAACCACCTCCCACTTCTTCCACTGTGACCTAAGGGACCAGAAACAGAGGGCAGACTTTGTCTTTCAGCATCTCAAAGCTAAAAAACAAAGCATCCAAGCTCTTCTGGGGCAAGCCCAGACCCCTCCCTCCATCCTTAACACAAAGAAGGTTCTTACTTCCTTGCAGTTTCTCTCTGGACCTTGCGCAGATCCTGCAGGGAAATCCAGCCACCCTCAGTCCTGTCCACTGGGAGGTTCAACTCCCTCACCAGCCACTCGCCCTCATCCGACAGCCGATACCTGGGGGCAGTGTTATCACCATCATTCCACGGGAGTGCTTCCTGTGCCACGCTAGTGCCTTGGCAAGGAATGTTCACATATCACTTCAACTTTTAAAAACACTGACATCATGCCAGTCCCCTAAAGGCTTTTATTCAGAGGAAGAAACGGCTCAGAGAGGCTAAGTGCCTTGCCTAGGATCATGGAGCTAGAAAGAGATGCAGCCCAGGCTTTTGTAGCCCCAAAGCCTGGGCCACCCCATGGTAGCCCAATAAAGGACAAAGACTCCAGCACAGGAGGCACCACTATTCCTACTGTCCTGTTTCTTTAGACACTGAATTGCCCAATGACCAACACGGGCCTTTTATTCAGGAGGCAGCAAGGGCCATCACTCTAGATTTGGGGGGATAGGGGTAAGAATAGGCTACTCCCTGAAGGGGAGGGGGCATTTGTTGAAGCAGAAAACACAACAGCCAGGCCTGGCTTACCCCTCTCAACTGCCACAACCCTAGACAACTCCCAGCTTCCATCTAACCTGCAGACCTCACAAGGCTTGTCGCCTGAAGGCTCCAGAGACACGTCACTCGCATAAATGGCTTCCCCACCACCTGCACCCACAGTCCAAACTCCTGTGACACTTTCAAAGGTGTCCACAACTAAAGCCCCACCACCTTTCTCGCCTCCACCAGCACACGCTGCTCACGGTATGAGCCTTACCCGACCTCACTTTATCCACT